>NC_000006.12:92454831-92605770 GCF_000001405.40 Homo sapiens
CAGCACAAATCATTAAATCACCTCTTCTATATGCTTAATATCTTTATGCAGATTAAATCTGAAAATTTTGTTATAGTGAATGATTTAACCAATAGTTAGTAAAAACAGACATTAAGAACAGCAGTTGGTTTGCAGGTAGATGCTTTGAGGAAAGAGGTATGCAGAAGACCAAAGACAGCTGAGGCAGGCCTAGGGAGCAGGTTGCATGCTGATACTAATTGTATTTTACATATTGACACTAATTATATTTCAGCTACCAGCTGCTAGCTGCCTTTTTTCCCCTCCCCTCATAGATCCTGAGGGTCTGTGGGCAATTGCATCAATTTGCCTTTCTAGGAGGACAATCCTGCATAAAATTAAAGTCCCAAATTATCAAGAAAATGAACAATTTCTAACTGAAAATGATATGTATCTTCAGCAAATATCTATAAACTAATCCAACCTTTGACATTTTTAACTGAAATTGTATGAAGAACTGACCACAAGACAGACTTACAGCTTTATCCACCCCATGCAAAACATGTTGAAAAGTGCCTGATATTGTCAATGGTTATCTGGTTGTTATATTAGGTGTAATTAAAACTCAGAGCTGATGTAACTGGCTGTTTTCACATTGTGTAAACATAGAGGAAGGGGACATAATCCCAATGACTCCCCTCTGGAATGTTTTATGGTAAGTGTTTCTTCTTATGATAATATATTATTTTCCCGCTGGGAACATTACCTACATCTCCTGTCAGTAGTTGTTCTCTTTTAAGCTTTATTTTCCTTATTTTACACTGCCAAAACAGTCTTTTAAATGCTTTGGTGAATAATGAATTCTGAATAATGGGTCCTGAGTAACTGTAGATTTTCCACTTGCTATTTTTAAATTAATTACTTTGAAAGCAAAGTAACTTTAAAGATTGCTTTATAATTTTCAAAAAAAAATAAAATTATTATGGTTTGATTTCTCTTTCTGCTTCTTTGTCAGTAGCATTACTGCAGTTCAGAGCAAAACATGAGTGTGAAGAAATGAAACAACTCTTTGGTGGTTGTGAATGAAAATGTCATCATTAGAATTAGTCTGGTGACAGCATTGCTATTTTTTAGCATCTTTAGAGCTTCTTTCCTCCTAAATCTCTTCACTCTGAAAACATATACTTTACTCATTCTTTAATACCTAGCATTTGGCACTTAAAACATTTCCAGAGGCATCACAGGTACTCTGTAAGTGTTCATTAAATAAATGAATGGCACTGCAGATGTATACTTTTGAAGGTTGTTATATATCTTCCAATCCATCAGTGTGACCTTGGAGAAATCTCAAAAACAGGAGGATAGTTCATGTAACAATTAGTTAATGGGTTCTTGGCTGAATGACTGATCTTCATGTACCTGCTTTTGGGGAACTATTTGTGATACTGGCTTAATGGTCCTTCATACAAAGACTCTCTCATCTTCAGATGTCTATCTCCTAACAAATATAAAACATAAAATAATTTATTAATTCCTTTAGAGGCTTATTCTTGATTCAGGATCCATAATCACTGAAACACATTAAAAAGTATCCAGACACAAATAACTTTGCTTGGGGGGAAAAGGGTTGTGTCAGGACTTGATTCGTGGTTGTTTTAGAAATACTATTAGAGTAAAGTTTATCAAAAATGATAGGACCAAGACAGGTCTGAAAAACAAAATAAAAATGTTTCCATTTATCTGGATTGTCCTTTTGGTAGTGTTGTCTGTGAGAAAGAACACAAATTTGAACTGTGCAGGTCAGTGTGAATGCTGATTACTTTCAAACAAACGTGGATGGAAAATACAGTATTCATGGAAGGTGAAACCTGCACATACAGAGGTCAGACTTTTCATACCCGCAGGTTCTGTGACTGCAGGACTTGCCTACGTACATATTCTGTTATACATGTGAGGTGCTGAAACCAATGCCCCCAGCATATCAAGGGATGACTGTATTTTATTACACATAGGAAGAGTAAGTATGACCTCAAGAAAATTTTCTTTCAGTTTGCAGGCATGTGCACTGAATTGAAAGATAAATGCTATATATCTTACTGTGGGTAACAGTTAATAAGTATTTGGATGCTTCTACATCAACATATTTGAAATATGGATGCCACAGTGTATTGGGCAGGACAGTATAAAGGTACTCATATCTGAAATCAGAGAAGAAGATGTTAAAGAAAAAAGCAATCAGCTTACCAAACACGATGTTACCCTGTCTTTCTGCCTTGAGCAGTTCTATTAAGATAGTGTAGGAGAAGTGATAAGTGGTTGAGAGTGGGCAGGGACAGAGAGAGACTGATGGAATTATAATACCATTGAAAGTTAACTGATAAAGTAAGCTAGTACAAACACCTTATTTCATAGACAAGGAAAATAAGTCTGAGGCACTATAACTTAAACAGTTAATACACTGATTTTTAAATCTAGTTTACATTCCTTCAACTAAAATGAAACTATTGCTTGGGAGGGGATAAGTAGGGGGTGGAGTAAAGAGAACTACATGAGATTGGAATCTGGCAAAGCAAGAGATCATTACAGTGGATTGGGAAGACAAAGCCGCCCCCAATTCTAGGTCCAGCTCTGTCATATACATAGTGAGAAGCTTGGACTAGCACATTTTTACAATGATGCTTCTCAGTCTGCCTTTAATTTCTATGAAGGAAAAGTTTTTCTTAACATTTCATTCAAAGATATTTTTATCTTTAATTTATACTTGCTATATTTCTCTTTTTGTTCCCTAATCCTGGAGGCAGAGGGAGTTTATGGACTCTTCATAAATTCCTATTATTTTGAAATCAAAATAGAATTAAAAGGTATGGGCAATATTGGCATTATCTTTGCTACTGAAATAAATGGACTATGTTCATAAGTGGGAGAGAATCAATCAAAATTATTCTTTTGTAGTAGACCAGGCCATTTTTGTCAATAAAAGCTCTCAGACAGGCAACCATCTGCAGATTTCTTTCTCCTGTTATCTAAAGTTTTTTTGTGTGTGATTGTCTGTAGTTCTTGAAGTCCTGAACCAGTGCTTCATTTAAGCTCTTCCTTTTACCCTACAGGCACAAGGCAGCTGGACCTTGGACAGGTAAAGTTCCCACTGAAGTCAATTGGAGTTTTGACTGCCTGAGGGCTGCAGCATCGGGGCCCCAAGTCATCTATTATAAATATTTTTGACACATCAGATTCATGTACATTCAGCTCCAGCTGAAAAGGTAAAAAGGTACAGATTCTTACCAGTTATTTCACGCCTTGAAGGAAAACTCTGCTTAAATGATATTCTTTCCTCACCTCAGATTCTCTTGGGAGTTATAATGGTCACCAAAGACCCTTTCTACAAACTGGAGAGAAATGCAGTATATCTTAGTAAAAAGAAATTGTTTTTCTGCTCAGGCAGTGTGTAGTAGACCAAGCAAATTTCAGCTCTTTACCATTTATTACTTAGTTTACAAGAATGTTTCATATAAATAGTAGATAGATATTGTGTGCGTGTGTGTGTGTGTATATATATATATGTATACACACACACACACACACACACATTTTTGGCAATACAATGACAAAAGCTTTCTGCATGCCTTGATGATTTACAGAAGAAGAATGATAAATAAAAGAACAAAAGAAAAGTACAAAACTTAAAACTGCACAAGAGTTTGTCTTGTTTTTTTTAATTGAGTTTTTTATTGCCTGGAACTTTCCTTCCTTTTTGAACTTTTGAAGAAGTTAATGCACAAATGATTTTTCAAACTATATAATTTTTTATTTAAGCCTTTGATAGAGGGGAAATTCCTTAGTGGTTCTGTCTATTTTGTATTACAATTTATATCACAAAACATCAGGAATTGTTTGGGGCCAAAGAAATACCTACATATTGATTCCAGTGGTAAGGATAATTGTACTCCTAAATTAATATGAATTAATGCTTTGTATATTTTTAAATTTTCTTTAGTGACAATTTTATTATAACTAATGGAATTCTCTAAAAATTTCATTCCATATATTTGTTTTTTATTGATTAGTATTCCCTATTTATGTAATTCAAAATGACAGGAATATCACATTACCATATTATTTAAATAAGTAAATAAGAGTATTTGCCTTTTAAATAGTTAAAAAATATTTTCACAGGATAGAAAGATATATAGTCAGACTTTAGTGCAGGGAGCAAATTTTACTCTTTACAATTTATCACGCCCCCACACCTTGCAAAAAATATTTCAGGTAAGGAATATTATTTTGTACATATATATATTTTTTCAAATATTATATACATATATGTGTACTATCTGGAGACTACATAAACATAGATATAGATATATAGATGTAGGTATACTGTGTATGTGAATATATATCTATATATATACACACACACGCATATATATGTATATATATGTATGTTTGAAGTATTAAATACTTAAAAAATATTTTCACAGGATAGAAAGACATATAGTCAGACTTTAGTGCAGGGAGAAAATTTTACTCTCTCTCTCCATACATATTTTACTCTCTCCATATATATACACATATGTATACGTATATACATATGTATATATGTATATGTATATACACATGTATACGTATATACTTATATGTATATGTATATACACGTATGTATATACACGTGTGTGTATACACGCATGTGTATACACGCATGTGTATGTATATACACGCATGTATATGTATGTGTATGTATATATACACATGTGTATATGTGTATATGTATATATACATATGTGTGTATATATGTATATGTATATGTATATATATATACATATATGGAGAGAGACAGTCTCTCCAAAATGGAATGAATACTAAATTTTTAAAATTTATATTGTATTCTCATGGATGAAGTACAATTAGATACAATAAGAAAATGTTTATATTTTCTGCATCCTAACTACATGATCCTGTGAGTGGCAGGAAACCAGAAATAATTCTGTTGCTATTTATAGTCAATGAGTCATGACAAATCTAAACAACCAAATCATTCAGTAGCATCAAATTTGACCATTCTAGGCTCTATCTACCAAAAGTCCAATTATTGGAGCAATTAAGTAAAAATGTGGCCAAACTAAACGCCTGGTACTGTGTAAACAGATCATTGGAATGAATAATTACATTTTTTAATTGAATTGACTTTTTTCATGGCAAGTTGACATAACATAGGTTGTCAAACATCATCTGGTTATTTTCTCCACATGATTTTAAGCTGCAATTCAAATTAAATAAATTTATTTAAATTGTTATTTAATTTAATGATTTTTTAAACTGAATATCTTGAGTAAACTTGTACTATATATACAAAACTTGATACCAAACTTATGTGTATATTTGTACACCCACATATGTAATTATGATAAAATAATGGTTAAAAGGCTTATTTTGTACTGTTCAAGTCTATGTATTTAGTTCTCACAATAAATCTAAGAGATTAGTATTAGTATAATCCCCATTTTACACATGAGATCACTGAAGCAAAATAACACAGTTGTTTCTGAAGGGCTGTCTGACTCGAAGGCCCACGTGAACTAAATATGCTACAGCTGTTCATGTATAACCAAATATACAAAAGCAACCAATGTAGTTAGTCAATATACTGAAAGAAGATACAAGTCAAATTTGTTGTTGGAACAAATTAATCAATCAATTCAATGAGAACAGTGTATCTCCTGGTTGTGTTTACAGTCAACAGTCTATTTCTCTTAATTCAACAAAATGACTCAACTTTGACTTTTCCTTTGTGTTCACTCTCTAAAATATTACAAAGAAAGTGGCAAATCCCAAATAGCTCACTGTGGTACAAAGGGAAGCAAGGAAAGTCTATAGATTTTCCGAGTTCCATCCCATTTCCTCTTTCAAGTTATATGGCTATAGCAAATATGAAGAAACAGCAATCATTCTTACAATTTTACTTCACCTTTAGCCACAAACACCCCAAATTTCCAAAAGCTATCTTCATAGAATTAGTATTAATTTCACACATTTTTAAAATAATATTATCATTTTACAACAAATATTAGTTGACAGCAATCTCTATATTCAAGCTTAGTCCGTACTCTGATGCTATACTGCAAATGTTCCAGTGGTTTAGCCGGGAGAACCTTGTGACACCCATATGAAAAACAAAACAAACAAAGCATTTTGCATTTAACAAGGAGATTTAGTTAACTATTTGTTATGGTTATAGAGGATAGTACTTATTTTGATTTTCTTCTACCTGTTCCCATGGAAGAGACCAACTAGACCTTAATACATACGTCTGTAGACATAGTATAATGTCATCTATTAAATCAACATGATAATTATGTAAAATAATAATAATTTTTGACATTTGCATTTTATATCATAATTTTAAGCATTTCCAAGCTTTTGCATTTTTTACTAAAAATGTTGATGCCATTTTTACCTATAAATTTGTATATACACACAAAAATCAAGCTAAATATTTGATTAAATTTGTAAGGTCATTCTGTATACTGGAGATGGAGTCAATGCTGCAATTGTCTGCCTCTTCTTGTGAGTTAGTATTCTATTTCCTGCCAAAGTTAAAAAAAAAGATTAAGGAAACTAATAAAGGCTTAGCCTAATCTTAGTGGAAGTGTTCTTATTATTGTGTGGAAGAAATTTAAAAAAAAACAGAACAGTTCTAACTACATGACACAGTTATAGAAAGATGCAGAGGACTTGATCAACTCAGGGAACAAGATCCTCAGGCAATTCAATTTCTTTGCCACTTTAACTTGAGAATGCTGACAAACTACACAGGTTTGAATGAAGCTGGATTGGAGAGAACCATGATGGCCAAAGAAAAGACCTAATCCGGGAGCCTAGGACAAGTGAACTAACAATAAATAATCAGAGATGCAAAAACTAACAAGTTGTTGAAATGCTGAAATGTATTTTAACTTTGATCATGGCATAAGAGGAATCTGTACAATATGGTAGGTCTGAAAACAAACAGGCCCTTGAGCTAATTAAGTGAAATTTTGGGGGCCCATTTTTCTTATTTAAAAAATGAGGGGTTAATATTTGCAAGATTGCGATGCAGGTTAAATGAGAACCTTAGTATGTAATACATATATCTGACACAGGGAAAACATAACAAATAGTAATTATTCACATATCTTCAAATCTTCAAATTTAATAAAGATATGAAACCACTTGAAATAAGATGTTGTTTTAGCATATACATGTGAGAAATTGCCTGTTTCAGGTAAATACATATCTCCATAACTAATAGGTTTATCTGTTACAAAGAAATTATGCCAAGCTAAATTGTGCCATTGATCCAATCAAAGTCTGCCCATTTCTTTTTTTTTTTTCCAGACATGTTTCTGTATATTTTGTTCTCTTGACAGATCACACATAAGACTCTGTACTTTCCTGTCTCAGCTATATTGACTTTTTTTTCAAATTCTTGCCTGAAAAACATTTGTAAATTTTATGAAAGACCCAAATAAATCAAATAACTCTCTTTTTCTTCAGAGATTGATATCCAACCTTCTAGTCTTGAGACCCACTTCGACATTTAACTTGTGAATAAAGTTGATAGTAAGAACACAAGGTCTCGCCCTTGAAAGAAAGTGACAGGCCTGGAAGTAGAAACCAGGTTCTTAGATTCCTAGCCCAAATAATGTACTTTCTACTACATCATACCTTATGTATCTCATAGAGTTAAAACCACTCAACAATTTCAATGTCTTGGAAATTTTATTATATTTCCCTGACTTGCATTTACTCTTGATGTATCCATCTTATGATCATTGTATTTTTTTACATTATACTTCTTTCTTTACTTACCACCATTTCCACTATTACCAAGTAGCCAAAAATATAAATTACTGTATTTAGGAGAAAAGTAAGTTATATTTTTCATGCATATCTATAACACACACACACACACACACACACACACACACACACACAGAGTCAAGTGAACAAATATGTGGGTGGTTTCATCCTAAGTGGTGAAATGATTCCCAGATGCAAAGAGAGTTGGCCCACCTCTAATTCTGTTCCAGGAGTCATGGCAGGGGCACATCTGGTTACCAGTATACCAGACTCTGTCTCCTGCACTGCTGTTAGTATGTGCCCACACTGGGCTTGTGTTGGACAGGCTCCACTCTCACGCTCTTCCCATGCACCTGTCCTGATCCCTGTTCATGTGTGCCTATGCATGCACACACACTCAACAGTGACATTTTCTCCTTTATTTTTCCTTTCCTTGCTCTGTCTTTCCTCTCTTTTATTTTTCCTCTTTCTTCTCTTCACTCTCTTTATTCTTCTCTAACCTGTATAGTGAATCAACCAATGAATCTTTCCCAGTTCATATGAAAAGCCTTTTTATCTGGATGCAAAGCCTGAGGAAAAAAAAAATCTACTCAATATTTGTGTTTTTATACCTAAGACTTGAGCCTGAAGAGAAGGAATTAAGCTTGATAGAGTGATACTCAGGTCAAAGAAATATGCAAACTTAACTTTTCCTGTTGCCCTGTACCTAAAGTCACAAACACACACAAATACATGCCCCCTCACATGCAAATATATGTGCACATATATATATCTCATGTTACGGAGATAGATTTTGTCCAGCCACTGGGCTGCTTCCTTCAGCATAATAAACATATTATCTGTGGTGAAAGACCACTGGAAAACATCATAAAGAATTAAACATATATGTGTGTGTATGTACAAATTCACATCTGATTTAAAGAGACACACAATGTATTCTGACAAATTCCCTAAATGTACCCCGAATGCCTCCCACTCTGCTTTTTCAGGACACCAATGGACAGTTGTTCCCTTTGTTTTCTGTGACCTTCAGCTACCTTCTTCCTTGGCCCATTCTCCTCAGTTATGCAAATATGCATTAAAATGCACAAATGGTCTCAAAGTCTTCCCTTAGTTCCTCTCATTTTTCTCCTCTTCTGAATCATTAATTAATATATTCAGTATGTAGTTTATAATTACTGACTTTATTTTTTCTTTATCAACCTATTTCCTGGTAGCTTCCACTCCTATCACTCCACTGAGGCCCTTTTCAAAAGACTCATGTGTAATCTCCTAACTGCCGTGTCTCACATTTCTATTTTTATGCTTTATAGCATTAAATGCCTAGAATAATTCAACGAGTTTGACAATCAACACCTTCATATTTATTAAAATATCATTGAATTTTATGGATTATAATACAAGCTCATTTGTAGAAATAAACTGGATTTAATTACCATAATTATTATAATATCACCATACTCCAAATCAGTAATTTTGACTTTTTTCTAGGAACATTTATTTACATGGGATTATGATTCTTCTATTTTTATATTCATTCCTATTAAATTATATTGTTAGATTTCCAGATATAATTATATGTTCTATAAAAATATTTTACTATTTATATATTATTTTATCATATATATTAACCATGACTTGTATAGTCACTCCCCTCTATTGGGACATTTAGTTTGTTCTTATCATAACACATTGTGCTATGAGAAAATCTTTGTGCATAATATTTAGTTAAAACTCTAATCATTTATTCCCAGTAGTGGACTTACAATGTGAAAGGATGCATTTTAATGATATTCAAATCTATGCTATATTTCTGAGAAAGGTTATCTAATATGTATTTCTTCCAGAAGTGCAAGAAAATGTTCTTCTTACCAGATACATAGATGTATTAGGCCATTCTTGCATTGCTATAAAGAAAAACCTGCGACTGGGTAATTTATATAAAAGAGATTTAATTGGCTCATGGCTCTGCAGGCTGTACAGGAAGCATAGTACTGGCATCTGCTTCTGGTGAGACCTCAGAAAACTTACAGTCTTAATGGAACGTGAAGGGGGAGCAAGTGTCTCATACGGCAGAGAGGGAACAAGAGAGAGAGTTGGGCGGGAGAGGGCCACATTTTACAACAACCAGGTCTCATGATAACCCACTTGCTATCATGAGGAAAGCACCAAGACATGAGAGAGCTGCCAGCACGACCCAAACACCTCCCACCAGGCCCCACCTCCAAAACTGGGTATTATAATTCAAGATGAGATTTGATGGGCACATATATCCAAACTATACCATTTTGTCCTTCCCCTTTCAATCTTAGGTCCTTCCCACATTGCAAAACACAATCATGCTTTCCCAACAATCCCTCAAAATCTTAATTCATTCCAGCATTAACTCCAAAGTGCAAAGTCTCATCTGAAAGACGGCAAGTACCTTCCACCTATAAGCCTGTAAAATCAAAGGCAAGTTATTTATTTCCAGGACAAAATGTAGGTATAGACACTGAGTAAATATTCCTGTTCCAAAAGGGAGAAATCTGCCAAAGGAAAGGGTGTATAGGCCCCACAAAAGTTTGAGACCCAGCAGGGTAGTAATTAAATCTTAAAGCTACAAAATAATCTCCTTCGACTCCATATCCTACATTCAGGGCACATTGGTGCAAAAGGTCAGCTCCCAAAACCTTGAGCAGCTCCATCTCTGTGGCTTTTCCATGCTGAGCTTGTAAGCTGCTGGGGGCTCTCTACTATTCTGTGGTGTGGAAGGTGGTGGACCCTTTCTAACATCTCCAATAGGCAGAGCTCCATGGGGGATTCTGTGTGGGGGCTCCAACTCCACATTTCTCCTTGGCAGTGCCCTGATAGAGGTTCTCTACAAGGGCTCTGTCCTTGCAGTAGGCTTCTTCCTGGGCACTCAGGGTTTTTCACACATTCTCTGAAATCTAGGTAGAGGCTTCCAACCCTTCACTCCTGCACTCTGCATGCCTGTAGGCTTAATACCACATGGAAGCTATCAAAGGCTTACATCTTGCACCCTGTCAAGTGACAGCCTGAACTGTATCTGGGGCCCTATGAGCTGAGGCTGGAGCTGGAAAGGTCTAGATGCAAGGAGCAGCCTCCTGGAGTGGTGCAGGGCAGTGGCACCCCAGGCCTGATTCTTGAATCCATTCAATCATCTTGGGCCTCTGGGCCTGTGATGAGAAAAGCTGCCTGGAAGATCTCTGAAATGCCTTCAAGGCCTTTTTCCCATTGTCTTGGCTATCAGCACCTGGCTCATTTTTAGTTATGCAGATCTCTCTAGCAAGTGGTTGCTCCATAGCCTGCTTGAATTTCTTTTCCAAAAAAGCTTTATCTTTCTCTGCCACATGGCCAGGCTGCAAATAATCCAAAGTTTTATGCTTTCCTTTTTGTTTAAATGTAAATTCCAACTTTCAGTCATTATTTGCTCTAACACCTGAGTGTAAGCCATTAGAAGCAGCCAGGCCACATATTGAAAGCTTTGCTGCTTAGAAATTATGTCCACTAGATACTGTAAGACATCATTCTCACGTCCAACCTTCCACAGATACCTATGGCATGAACACAATGCATCCAAGCTTTTTGCTAAGGCATAACATGTGTGACTTTTGCTCTAGTTCCTAATAAGTTCCTCATTTCTATCTGAACACTCATTAGCCTGGACTTTATAGTCCATATCTCTATCAACATTTTGATCACAACCATTTTACCAGCCCCTAAGAAGTTCCAAACTTTTCCTTATCTTCCTGTCTTCTTCCAGAGCCCTCCATACTTTTTTTCAACCTCTGTCCATTACCCAGTTCCAAAGCGGCTTCCACATTTTCATGTATTTTTATAGGAATGCCCAATTCCTCTGTACCAATTTTCTCTGTTAGGCCATTGTTATATTGCTATACATATATTTAAAAAAACCCTGAGACTGGAAAATTTATAAGAAAAGATATTTAATTGAGTCATGATTCTGCTGGTTATATAGAAAGCATCTGCTTCTAGGAAACTTATCATCATGGTGGAAGGCAAAGAGGGAGCAGGTATCTCACATGGTAGTAGGGGAGCCAGGGGGAAAGGGAGGGGAGGAGGTGCCACACTTTACAACAACAAGATCTCATAAAGACTCACTCGCTATCACAAGGACAGCACCAAACCATGAGGGATCTGCTCCCATGACACAAACACCTCTCACCAGGCCCTACTTCCATTATTGAGGATAAAAATTCAACATGAGATTTGGCAGAGATATATCCAAACTATAGCAATAGACATCCCTGTCAGCTTAAAAAAATGCTAGTAAACATGAGGCCCTACATATTGAGCTCTTTCTTTGATTTATAAGATAGCACTTGACTATTTTTGCCCCTTTCATCTTACTTTTCTTTCTTAATACAATGAGCCTATTGTCCCCTAGTGCTTGACCTGGATTTTTTCATAATTTTCCTCTATATCCATGTGTTATCTTATCCTAACCCAATGATTTAATTACAACCCACGTGTGGCCTACCTTCTTCCTTCATCATGACAGCCATATACTTGCACTCAGCTCTTGCTCATTCATTGACACATTCTAGAAAATTTATCTTCCACTAGTAGGCTGCATTTTCCTGTGGCAGCCATGCCCTATACAAAGAAGGCTACATCTTACACTGTGGGGCTCCTCTAAATTCCTTTCTTGCTCACTTTTCTTCAGCAGAGAGGTAGTAATTACCTTCTGCCCTTGAAATTATATTTTTTAATTATTTTAGTAACTTGTAACCTTTTAAATTAAAAATTCTTTACACTGGCCTGGCGCAGTGGCTCACGCCTGTAATCCCAAAACTTTGGGAGGCCAGGGTGGGCAGATCAGCTGAAGTCGGGAGTTGGAGACCAGCCTGACCAACATGAAGAAACCTTGTCTCTACTAAAAATACAAGAAATTAGCCAGGCATGGTGGCACATGCCTGTAATCCAAGCCACTCGGGAGGCTGAGGCAGGAGAATCGCTTGAACCCAGGAGGCAGAGGTTGCGGTGAGCCAAGATCGCGCCATTGGACTCCAGTCTGGGCAACAAGAGTGAAACTCTGTCTCAAAAAAAAAAAATTCTTTACACTAATTATCCTTCTTCAAATATCTGGTATGATTTCTGTCTCTGACTGATACAGGAACTCTCTTATGACTGATGTTTGATGTGGTATATATTTTCACTTTCAAACAATTCCTACATTTAGGGTACTTCTACTTTTTGTTCACTTATGTAGTATTTGTTTCTCTTTTGAATTAGTTTATTTAGATTTATTTATATCCACCATTCTTTACAGATTTTAAAAGAAATATTATTTTTAATGTATTTGGTGTTTTCTTATTAAGATTGTAGCAATAATCTTTGCTACATTCTCCATGTTATCTAGAAGTGGATCTTCTAACAACTTAACTGACCACAGTGCTATGGGAATCCCTCTCAAAGCCAACCCCTCATTTTTAGTCATAATATAAAACTTCATCATCTCTCAGTTTAATATTGTAGTAACTACTTAATTGGTTTATTTCTCATTCTCTACATAACTTAATCCACCACACTGCTGCCAAAATTATGTTTCTAGAAAGCAAATGTGATGATGTCACTCTTCCATTTGACAACTTCTGACACTTCTTGCTGAGAGGATAGACTGCATCTAGCCTTTCACAACTCCACCAAATAACTCTCTTCACTCTCCCTAATCAGTTGCTTCCCACTAAGTAGTCCTATTACTTAACCACACAGATTTTTTCTGCATGTCCCAAATATACAATCCATTCCTGTGAGATCTTGTTCTTTTCAATCTTGACACTAGATTTTGCAAGGAAACCCTCCTCAGCTTGATAACAAATGTTGTTCCAATTTCATATTATCTCTGAATCTATCCTTGAGTACCTTTAGTGTATTTAACTTCTAACTGTCCAACCATAATTTTTCAGATTTTAGCACTTTGATTCAGTGGTTCTCAAACTTTACCTTGCAGCGAAATCATCTGAAAGTTTTATTATAAATCAGTGAGCTGGGCCCCACCCCAGAGTTTCAAATTCCATAGATCTGGGGTAGTGCCAGATAATTTACATTTCAAACAAGTTTCTTGGTGATGCTACTACTGCTGGTCAGTGTTTTAAAAAATGGGACTGCATTTTTAAAAATACTGATCTAATGAATTTAGAAGACTCTTTCAATAGTTCAAGTAAAAGTTTACAGTAACTTCAATTAAACAATTTGTGGAAGAATTGGAAAATCGCAACGGTTCCTATCTCATCGATTTTATTTAATTTTATTAAATGTATTTTATAAATTAACTGAATAAAAGAGTTGAGAATATGAATAAGGCCACAGTAAAAGAAGAAGAGCAAACCAAAGGCAGTTTCACTTTTCCAGCTATATGTCCCTGAAATATCTTCTTGTATCTAATCCTAATGATCTGTAACAATAAAAAAGAAAACAGTTTCAAAAGGAAATTTTAGTAAAGTTTATTTTCAGCAATTAAGCAGCTTCACTGTGCCACAAACCAAGAGTATTTTACAAATTGTTTCATCATCATGACTGTGTGAAGCCTTGTATGTAGGTATTGGGATAATTACATTGGTTGTCAGGAATATAAATGCTTTTCAGATAAAGCCAATTTATAGGTAGATTTCAGGGTCTGTCGCATTTCAGTTGCCTAGTGTGATTCTTTGAAAACCTCAGCTTATTAGGAAGGAATGGCCCTTGCCATATGTGCAGCATTAAGAACATCTGGAAACACCATCAAAGCAAGAAATTTTTTACTTTCCACTGGCATGAAGAAGCCATTGGAAATTTCACAGATGTTTGAATCTCAGGATCCCTGGATAGTAGGAAATTGAAGCAGACTGCTGGCATTGACCAAGTGATTTCTCCTAGGAAATGCACCGCTACTCTATGGAGGAAAATGAGAAGTTGTTCCTAATGGGAATAAGTTCCTTGCTAAATAAAGTTATGACTGAATAATCTAATTTGTCATTGAATGTCATTGTAACATACACCAGGCTAAAATCATTAGTGCGCCCACAGTGGTTTCAATTAGAATCACATGAACAATAAAATGTTAGTAAAACCCATGCATTTCTTGGGTTTAATGCAATTTGGCATTTATCTTGATGATTTGGGGCATTACTTTATGTTCCAGGAATCCTATATCCAATTTGTCATTCTATCAAAATCATAATTACTCATTCTACGTTCATCACAAACTTAGTAAAGCCATTTTAAACTTGATTATATAATGACAGGTTCTCATCTAGAATTTAAGGATCATGTGCATGACTCTTATGTTTACTAAGCAATGTTTCTAAACTCCCTGGTAAAGATGCATCATATTGAAATCATTTGGGAATCTTTACCTATTTCGATTTTGCTAAAATACGTAAGGTCAGGACTCCATCCCTGATATTGGTAATTCCTCAGCTCTGCTCAGAGAAATTGGGGAATGCAGGGAAGATGGAATTAGCCATTTGCATGTAGAAATAGTTACTCAGGTGATTATGACAGTAGATTTAGTTAGAATCACCTGCTATAAATCCTCAGTACTAAAAGTGTGGTGCATAAACTAGCAGCATCTAAATCACCTGGAAACTTGCTAGAAATGCACATTCTCAGGCTCTGAAGCCTCATCTGCATTTTAAGGACAGGCCCAGGTGATCTGTTTTTACATGATATTTTCACATTAAACTACTGCTGTAAGAAAAAATATTGTCTTTAATGTGAAGCTAATTGTTTCTCATCTTATTTCATTTTGGTCCCTGAAAGCTAAAGCCCTAAAGTTAAATAAAAATGAGAGCAATATTTATGAGGATTATTAAAGTTTGTGGTACAAATGTTATATTTGCCATTGGACAAAAAGCCTTTGATGTTTAGAGAGCATAGTATTAGTGAGGCTACAAATTTTACCTCACAGTACGACTCAGAGAAATTCAGCTCCTTTGTCTGTTTCTTATCTACTGTACAGCACAATAAACATCTGCCAGGTTGAGGGAAAGAAAAAAATAGCTAATGATCCAATATGAATTATAATTTATGCTTTATTAAGTTAAATCTATTAAGAGACTTTTTATTCTCCCTTGTCTAAATATGCTCAGCCCTTTTCAGAGCTTGGCCTCTCCTCATTCTTCTTTCCTTAGAAAGCATCCATTCCTTTTATGCTGCCTTGTAGATATCAGGAGGTGATGGGGTTCTTGACTGAAATTATTCTGCCTCTACATGTGTCCCCAGGTCTCTGTATGTCTTTACCTCCTAAGTTATTTCCCCGGCTAGATTTCATGGTTAAAAGGTGAATAAAATTCAAATTATTTTCAGTTTTCTCAGAGTCCATAGCCTTCTTGGCTGCCTGAGATTCACCTCGGCTTTCCCTGATTACAATGTCTTTAATATGCCAATTATCTCCAAAGAATATTCTATAGAGATACTGTTTTGACAGTGAGTTTAGTCAAGCAAAAACTATGAATAATATTATGCACTAAAAAAATGAAATCTATCAAATTTACTTTACGATGCTAGCAAAATCCTAACGTTAAAATTTAATCTACATAGCTTTAAAATCACAATCTCATTTCTGAATATTGATATTTAATAATATTTTATGTGATATTAAAATTTTCCATAAAATGTTAGTAAAGAAAGTTAAATATTATATTAGAAGTATTGCCCACCATGACCAAGTCGAGTGTATCCCAAGGAAGCAGTGCTGACTAACATCAGCAAAACTGTATACCTAAGAAGAAATCAATCCTAAGACAAATTACCCAATTAAAAATTTGGCAAAGGATCTGAATAGACATTTCTCTAAAAATGATTTATAAATGATCAATAACAAATAAAAGGACACTAAACATTATTAGCCATCAGAGAAATGCAAATCAAAACCACAGAGAAATAACACTTCATACCTACTAATGTGGCCATAATAATATAGTTAGATAATAGCAAATATCAGTCAGGGTGAGAATAAATTAGTAATCTCATATACTTTTGGAGGAAATGTAAAAATGGTGCAGCAACTTTGAAAAATAGTCTGACAGCTCCTCAAAAAGTTAAACATGTAGTTACATAACACAGCAATTCCGCTCCTAGGTATTTTATTCAAGAGAAATGAACACAGAAAAATTTGTACATAAATGTTCATAGCAACATCACTCATATTAGCCAAAATGTTGAAACAACTCAAATGTCTATCAAATGAATAGATTCAATAAAATAGTACATCCATAAGGTGGAATATTATTCGACAATCGGAATTAATGAAGCACAATACATGGCACAATATGAATGAACCTAGAAAACATCATATATTCCACAGCTCAATTTAAATGAAATGCCCAGATTAGGTCAATCTATAGAGACAGAAAATAGATTAGTGGTTACCTAGGGCTAGGAGGTGGGAAGAAGGGGGTTTGGGATGAGGACATCTGGACGGAATAATGGGGAATGACTGTTAATAAGTACAGGGGTATATATATATATATATGTGTGTGTGTGTGTGTGTGTGTGTGTGTGTGCGCATGTTACAAAAAATTCTAAACTTAAACATCTAAAAATATTTGAAAATTAAAGCACTGTAAATAAACTAAAACCCATAAAATTGTACACTTTAAATAGGTGAATTTTGTGGTTTGTGAATTATATGGCAAAAAAGCTTAAACATTTACTTCAAGTTTAATGGAGAAAGTCTACATGAAAATTTCCATAGACTCTCAAAAGTCCACAATCATGATTTTTGAGAACTATTACCAAAAGGAAATTTCCTGGATCGGGCATGTAAGGAGCTTAGCCATTGCCACTCCATCCTAACAACAAGCAAAGAGCAGACCAAACTGAAGGATAAACAACACTTCTTAAATCCACTAGAGAAGTGTAGTCCCAGGGTAAACCATTGTCCCCAGAATTGGAGAGAAAGGCAAATATAGAGCACCACAACTGACTGCAACAAAAACCCATAAGCAGGAAAACCAGTGCCCAGGTAGGAAAATGTGAACTGTAATGTCAAATTGCTGGAGGCTCAGTGTAGACAAGTCAGAAAGTTAAAAACTTCAGGGGAATCCAGTCACAGAAGGGCCCTCACACTTTCATGAATTTTAACTCCAGGAGCTCAACCAGGTCCTTATGGTGAATATTTGAGAAAAATCTCCTTATGCCCCTGGCAGAGGGACAGGGAATGAGCAATTTTGAAATACATCAGCGCATTCTGTTCTTAGCAAGGCCTGATCTGAGGAGAAGCTGTTTTACCAGAGCTTGACCTGCTGGGATTTTTTTCAGATCTTGACCTAACTAGGGGAGGGAAAATACCCACCTCCATCAGGCTCTAGCCTTTCATGTGGAGAATGGGAAATAACAAACTCCAACCCCCTCTGGGCTTCCTTTCCCACCTAAAGCGGGAAGGATTAAGAAGCAGTTATGAAGTTTACCATCGGAGGGTACAGGTCTACAAAAGACTGAGACCTAATCACAGGACTGCAGAATGCTTCTTCTCCCCACAAACCTTACCATTACATTAATGAAGGCTTATTTACCATAGTTTCTTTTACCTAGTAAAAAATGTTCACCTTACAACAAAAAAATTAAAAGGCAGACTAAAATGCCAAAAATAAATAAATAAATAAATAAATAAATAAATAAATAAAACAAACAAAACCCATAATTTGAAGAGACTGAACAAACCTATGAACCAGGTAGAACATAACAAGACTGTTGACTATAGCAGACCAAATTTTTTTAAAGAAAAATCATCACTATGATGAATATGACAAAAGCATTAAAGGAAAAAGTAAACAGCAAAGTAACAGATAGATGATGTAAGCAAAGAGATGGACATTCTTAGAAATATTCAAAAGGAAATACCAGAGATTAAAAGCACTACAATGGAAATGAATAATGACTTTGGTAGGATCCGTAGTAAGCCGGACACAGTGGAAGAAAGAGCATCTGAGCTTGAGAACATGACAACAGATACCTCAAAAAGTAAAAAAAAAAAGACACTAAGAAAAAAATCCCAAAACAAAGAACAGAACTGATATCCAAGAACAGTGGGACAACTAAAAAAAGGTATAACATACAAAAAATAAAAATAAAAGAACAAGAAACTGAGAAATAAAAAAAGAAATACTTAAAGCTTGGACACACTGTCTCACATCTGTAATTTCATCATTTTGGGAGGCCTAGGAGGAAGAATTTCTTGAAACCAGGATTTCAAGACCAGCCTGGGCAATATAGCCAGACCTGATCTCTAAAAACAAAATAAAAAAATATTTTAAGCGATAATGACTGAGAATTTCCCTAATTTAATGTCAGACACCAAACCACAGAACCCAGAGGCTCACAGAATGCCAAAAAGGACAAATACTACCCCTAAAATTAAAGAAAAAAATCTATGTGTATAAATATTATATTCAAACTATAGAAAATTAAAGATAATAAAAAACAAGAAAAAAGAGTGAAAAAGTACTTTACCTATGGAAGATAAAAATTACATCTGACTTCTATACAGAAACCATGCAAGAAAACAGTGAAATGAAATATTTAAAGTACTGACAGAAAAAAATACACCTAGAATTATCTATCCTTTGAAATCATCCTTCAATTATGAAGGGAGACCAGATGTGGTAGCTCACAATTGTAATTCTAGCACTTGGGGATGCTGAGGCAGAAGGATTGCCTGAGACCAGGTGTTCAAGACCAGCCTCGGAAACATAGTAAGAACTCATCTCTATGAAAAACAAAAAAAGTAAGTTGGGTATGGTGGTGTGTGCCTGTAGTCTCAGCTAGTTGGGAGGCTGAGGCAAGAGTATTGCTTGGGCACAGGAGCTTGAGGCTGCAGTGAGCTATGATTGCATCACTGCACTCTAGCCAAGGTGACAGAGTAAGGCCCTGTCTCTGAAAATAAATATTCAGGGAAAAGAAAAATGTATAAAGATCAGAAACTAGGATCTAAATAAAGAACAGAAGAGCATAGGGAATAGTTGGAGGTTAAATGAAACTTCATTTTAAAAATTCTGGATTAAACTAACAGATAATTTGTTCAAATAATAGCAAAAATGTATTAGATTACATATGTTTATACATATATATACATATATGATATGCTTATTTAAAAATAAAATAAATGTTTCCAACGATACAAAGAGTGAAAGGAAAAATAAACGTATTTAGTTATTAAAAGCTTCTTTTTTTTTTACCCTGAAGTGTATAATGTGATTTGAAAGTGGGCTTGAATTAGTTGTAAATGTATATTGAAAGCTATAGGGTGACGACTAAAAAAAGTAAAAAAAAAAAATGTATAATTGATATGGTAAGAAATGAATGAAGTTGGGATAAGCTTAAATGTTAAATAAAAACTGCAAAAGACAGAAATAGTACAAAAGGCAAAAATAAGAACAAAGAACAGGGGGCATAGAATAGAAAATAGTAACAAATATGACAGGTATTAATTCAAGTATATTACTAATAAGTTTATACATCAGCAGTCTAAATACACCAATTGAAAGACAGAAAATGTCAGAGTGTATCCAAAAACAAGTCACAACTATAACTTGTTCATAATAAACAGACATTAAATACAAAAACACATACTGACCAAAAGTAAATGGATGGAGACAGATACAACACTAGTCAAAAGAAAGTGAGAGTAGCTATGTTAATTTCAGACAGAACCAACCTCAGAGCAAGGAAAGTTATCAGACATGAAAGGGCCAATACAAATAAAAGGCTCAACACTGCAAGAAGACATAATCCTTAATGCGGATGTGTCTTACCAAAGAACATCAAAATACGTAAGGCAAATATTGATGGAGTAGCAAGGAGTAAAAGATGAATTCACTCCTATGGTTGTAGACTTTAACAATCCTATCTTATATATAAAAAGCTCTAACAGCCAAAAAAAAAAAATCAGTAAGGACATTGTTGAATTCAAGAGCACTATTGATCAACTGGATAAAACTGACATCTATAGACTCCTTCATCAAATAACAGCAGATTACACATTCTTCACAAGCTCTCATGGAACAGTAACCATGACAGATTATATTCTGGGCCATAAAACATCCCTTAAAAATTTGAAAACAATAATAATGATACACTATCTGCTCTCCTACCACAGGACTTAAATTAGAAACCAGTAACAGAAAGACTGTGGAAAATCCTCAAATACTTGGAAATTAATCAACACACTTCTAAATAACACATGGGTCAAAAGAGAAATGTGGAAAAATTTAAAAAGATTTTGAAATAATGGAAAGTAAAATACAACTTATCAAAATTTGTGTAACGCAGTGAAAACTGCTTATGAGGAAATTTATAGAATTAAATATATATTCTTAGAAAATAAGAAAGCTATAAAATCCATAATCTAATATTCAACCTTAGGAAACTAGCAAAATAGGGCAAATTAAACCTAAAGTAAGCAGAAGAACATAAATAATAAAAATTAGAGCACAAATCAATAAAATTGAAAACAGTGAATCAGTAGATAAAGTCAACAAAACCAAAGCCTAGTTATTTGAAAAGATCAACAAAATCAATAAGCCTCAAGCCAGGATGACTAAGAAAAAAAAAAGAGAAAACACAAATTACTAATGTCAAAAATAAAAGAGGAAACATCATTACATACTCCACAGACATTAAAAGGATAATAAAGCAGTATTATGAATAACCATATGCTTACAAACTTGATAGCCTAGATGAAATGGACCAAATCCTTAAAAGACACCATCTGCCAAACTCAAACAGAAACAGGCAAATTAAAGGGTCCTGTATCTATTCAATAAATCGAATCAATTATTCATAACTTTCCAAAATAGAAAGCAACATGCCAAGTTAAGTGCACTGGTGATTTTTACCACACATTTAGGGAAGAAATTATACCACTTCTGTAGAATCTCTTTCAGAAGGTAAAAGTGAGAGGAATACATTTTACTTCATTAATTGAAGCCAGCATTACTGTAATATCAAAACCAAAGATATTACAAGAAAAAGCCAATGTCTCTAATGAACATATATACAAAAATCCTCAAAAACATTATCAAATCAAAACCACCAAAGTGTAAAATGAATTTGGCCAGGGGTGGTGGCTCACACCTGTAATCCCAGCAATTTGGGAGGCCGAGTTAGGGGGATCACTTGAGGTAAGATCAAGATCAGCCTGATCAACCTGGTGAAACCCCATCTCTACTAAAAATACAAAAATTAGCCAAGTGTTGTGTGTGCCTGTAGTCCCAGCTACTCAGGAGGCTGAGGCAGGATAATTGCTTGAACCCAGGAGGTGGAGGTTGCAGTGAGCCAGGATTGCACCACTGCACTCCAGCCTGGGCAACAGAGACAGAACCTGTCTCAAAAAAATATATATATATATACACCATGTTTAAGTGGGATTTATCCCAGGTATACAAGGCTGCTCAACATTTGAAAATCAATTAATTTAATCCATTACACCAATGGGCTAAAGAAGAAAACTCAAACAATCATATTGATTGATACAGAAAAAGCATTTGACAAAATCCAACACCCATTCATAATTTTTAAAAAAGCTCTCAATAAACTAGGAGGAGAGAAGAAGTTCCACACTTTGATATAGAACATCTGCAAAACATACCTATAGCTACAAATCATACTTAATGATGGAAAACTAGATGGTTTCTGTTAATATTAGAAAAAAGTCACGGTTGTTTCCTCTTACTACCTGTTTTCAACATCATACTGGACGTTTTAGCTATCACAATAAGACAAGAAAAGTAAATAAAATGTTTACAAATTGAGAAGGAAGAAACAAAACTATTTTTGTTTGCTGATTATGTAATTGTCTATGTAGAAAATCCAAAAGAAGAACTAAGAAACAACTAGAGTAAAGTTGCAGGACACAAGGTTAATAAAGAAATGTTAATAGCTCCCTATGTGCCAAAAATGAAGAAGTGAAATTAGAAATTAAAGACACATTATCATTTACATAAGCACCCTCCAAGATGAAATATTTAGTTATAATCTAAGAAAATATGTACAATATATATGAGAGGAGAAATAAAAATCTCTAATGAAAAATATCAAAGAAAAATTAAATAAATGAAGAGATATTCCATCTTCGTGAATACAAAGACTTCAATATTGCCAAGATGCCAGTTCTTTGCAGCTTCATCTATAGATCCAATGTAATTCCAATCAAAATCCCAGCAAGATATTGTGTGGATATCAAAAAACTGATTCTAATATTATATGGAGAGACAAAAGATCCAAAATAACCAATTAAATATTAAAGAAGAACAAAGTCAGATGACTGACACTACTTGATTTCAAGACTTACCATAAAGCTGCAGTAATCAAGATAGTGTGGTATTAGTAAAAGAACAGACAAACAGATCAATGAAACAAAATGGCAAGGCCAGAATTAGACCAATATAAATATACTCAACAGGTCTTTGACAAAGGAGCAAAAGCAATAAAATAGAGAATAGTTTTTTCAACCAAGAGTGCTGTGGAAAAACTGAACACCCACATGCAAAAAAAAAAAAAAAAAAATTAGACAGAGATCCGTTACACTCCAAAAATACAAACTTCTTAAAATCAGACTCCTAAATGTAAAATGCAAAACTATAAAACCCATGGAAGACAACACAGGAGAAAATTTAGATGACCTTGGGTATGGCAATAACTTTCTAGATGCAAGACCGAAGGCATGATACATGAAAGAAAGAATTAATAAGCTGGGCTTCATTAAACTTAAATATTCTGATCTACAAAAGACAATCTCAAGAGAATGAGAAAACAAGCCACACACCGGAAGGAAACATTTGTAAAAAAAAAAACATATCTAATAAAATACTGTTTTCTAAAATATCCAAAGAACTCCTAAAACTCAACAATAAGACAATGAACAACCTAATCGAAAAATGGGCAAAAAAATCTGAGCAGATACCTCACCAAAGAAGATATACAGACGACAAATAAACAAATGAAAAAGTGCTCAACATCAAGTACAAATTGCAAATTAAAACAGGATAGAAATACCTATTAGAATTGGCAAAATTCGAAACACAACACCAAATGCTGACAAAAAATTGTAGCAACAGAAACAATCATTTATGGTGGAAATGCACAATGGTACAACCACTTTGAAAACAGATTGGCAGTTTCTTTCTAAACTAAACATACACTTAGTAAACAATACAGTTGCACTTATTATTTATTCAAATGAATTAAAAACTTACATCCACACAAAAACCCACACATGGATGTTGATAGCTGCATTATTTATTATTGCCAACACTTGGAAACAACAAGATGTCCTTCAGTAGGTGAATGAATAAACAAACTTAATTCATCTAGACGATGGAATATTAGGCAGTGATAAAGAGAAATGAGCTATCAACCCACAAAATGGTAAAGAAGAAACTTAAATTCATGTACATGAAAGAAGCCAATATGCAAATGCTACATGTTTTATGATTCCAACTATCTGATATTCTGCAAAAGGCATAACTAAGTAGACACTAAAAAGATAAAGGTTGGCTGGGGCAGCGGTTCATGCCTGTCATTCCAGCACTTTGGGAGGCCAAGGAGGCTGAATCACTTGAAATCAGGAGTTTGAGATCAGCCTGGGCAACATGGCAAAACCCTGCCTCTACCAAAAATACAGAAGATTAGGCCAGTGTGGTGGCACACACCTGTGGTCCCAACTACTTGAGATGCTGAGGTAGAAGGATCGCTTGAGCCCAACTGTGAGGCAGAATTTGCAGTGAGCTGAGAACGCACCACTGCATTCCACCCAAGGCAACAGAGTGAGACCCTGTCTCAAAAACAAAAACAAAACAAAACAAAAAAATCAAGGTTTAGGAGGGGTTAGGAGGCAGGCACAGAGGAGTTTTAGGGTGGTGAAACTACTCTATATGATACTAGAAGGTACAACACCAAGAATATACTATAATGTAAACAATAAAATTTGGGTAATAACAATGTGTCAATGTATGTTCATCAATTGTATCAAATATGCCAGTGTGGTGCAAGATTTTTTTCTTAGGTGGGGGAAAGAGCTATATGAGTAATCTCTACACCTTCTGTTCGATTTTGTTGTGAACCTAACACTGTTTTAATAAACTCTCTAATAAAATTAAAAAAACAAATATCACAACAGGTTTAGTTGTCTAGGCATATATAATTAAAATTTGTAAGACAATTCATCCAATATTTATCATGAGGTATTATAAACAAAGAATGATGATATAAACATAAACAGAGGAAAAAAAAGAGAATGTCTTTTATTTTGCTTAAAGAACTTTAAGAATTGACTATTTACTTCAAGGTGTACCACATTTGTATAGTAGTTAAGATCCATGGAGAAGAAACCAATTCATTGCGGCAGACAGATTAGCTGCTGAACACACAGGAAGCTAATAACTAGACAGGAATGCTGAGGTCAGCTGCTGCAACTGACTCTTAAAATGTCTGTCTCCATTAGCCTGCTTGCCATCAGAAACAGATGCAGAAATTGGTGAAGCTACATTTTCATATAGAGCTCCAGCTGCAAGGAAGTGGAGTAAGCATACTTTTTAGGATTGAAGCTTCTGCCAAATATTCCCTACAAAATGATCATTTTAGTGACACTGTGTTAATCAACCAAATATATCTGGCATATAAGACAAAAATTGGATTAGATACATCCATGTATATTCACACCCATACATACTGAGACATATACATAGGCACATATATAATTTGAAGTAACTTTACATAAAATGAAATCACACATCTTAAGTGTATAGTTTAATGGCTTTTAATGAATATGTACACTGTGAAACCATCATCCCAATCAAGATGTTAGTCATAGATGTTTTATGAATGCCCTTTACCAAATTGAAGAAGTTCCCTTCTAAGGATATTTTCAGAGAGACCTTAGTATTAACGGGTAGTAAATTCTGTCAAAAGCTTTTTGCATTTATTGGAAGGATTATACATTTTTTCTCTTTATTCTGTAATATTGGTAAATTATATTCATTATTTTTTACATTTTTTATTTTAAAATAATTTTAGACTTACAGAAGAGTTTCAAAGATAGTCCAATGACAACTTCTATGCTCTTCACTCAAATTTCCCTAATGTTAGTAACTTACCTAATCATGGTAAAATATCAAAACTAAGAAATCATTATTTCTACAAGAATATCAATTGTAGCAATCAGTTTTTGAGTATTTAAGCAAACTAACATTCTTGGAATAGACCCCAGTGGAGTTTATCCTTTTATAAATTGCCAGATTCAATCTGCTAGAATTTTATTAAGTATTTTGCATGTAAGTTCATGATAATTAATTTATATTGCAATTTTCAAAAAATTTTTAGTTTTGATGTCATATTGGTCTCATAAGATAAGAAGGTATTATGTGAGAGTTTATATAAGATTTGCATTTTAACTTCTTTACACGTTAAATTTAGAGTGAAATGATCTGGGCCTAGAGTTTTCTTAATGAGAAGGTTTTTGGTAATTAAAATGTTTGTAATTGATATGTATACTTAGATTTTTCTATTTCTTGTTATATCAGTTTTGATAAATTGTCTTTTTCAAGTTATTTGTATATTTTTACCTAAGTTTTCAAATTTGATGGTAAAATGTTACATGTGTACAACCTGTCTTCTCTTTTATTTCTTACACTGGAATTTTTTAAATCTATTTTTCTTTATTAGCTCATCTAAAATTTATCAATGTTTTTGATATTTGTAAATTAAGTTGTTTTTATTAAATTTTCTCTACTGTTTTCTATTTTTCTGATTTCTTTTCATAGTTTTATTGCCTTTTTAAAAGTTTTTTGGGTACATAGTAGGTATATATTCTTAGGGGGTACATAAAATGTTTTGATACAGGCATATAAATGCATAATAAAACATCATAGAAAATAGGGTATACATCCCCTAAAGCATTTATCTTTTGTGGTACAAATAATTCAATTATATTCTTTATGTATTTTAAAATGTACAATTAAATTGTTATTGACTATAGTCACCATGTTGTGCTATGAAATACTAGGTTTTAATCTTTCTAGTTAATTTTTTAATCCATTAACCATGAGTTCAGTTGCTTTGATTTTTACATCCTACTAATAAGTGAGAACACGTGATGTGTGTCTTTCTGTGCCTAGCTCATTGCATTTAAAATAATGATGTCCCGTCCCATTCATGTTGTTGCAAATGACTGAATCTCATTTATTTTTATGTTTGAGTAGTACTCCATTGTGTATAAGTACCACATTTTCTTTATCCATTCATCTGTTCCTGGCCACTTAGGTTGCTTCCAAATCTTGGCTATTGTGAAGAGTGCTGCAACAAACATGAGAGTGCAGATGTCTCTTTGATATACTGAGTTCCTTTCTTTTGGGTGTGTACAGCAGTAGGATTGCTGGATCACATAGCAGCTCTATTTTTAGTTTTCTGAGGAGCCTGCAAAGCATTCTTCACATTGGTTATATTAATTTTCATTCCCACCAACAGTGTATGAGGATTACCTTTTCTCGATGTCCTTGTCAGCATTACTTGTTACCTGACTTTTGGATATAAGCCATTTTACCTGGGGTGAGATGACATCTGATTGTAGTTTTGATTTTCATTTCTCTGATGGTCAACGATGTTGGCCACCTTTTCATATGCCTGTTTGCCATTTGTAGGTCTTCTTCTGAGAAATGTCTATCCACATCTTTTGCCAATTTTTAATTCAATTATTAGATTTTTTCCTAAAGAGTTGTTTGAACTGCTTATATGTCCTGATTATTAATCCCTTGTCAGATGGGTTATTTGCAAAATATTTCTCCCATTGCGTAGGTTGTCCCTCCACTTTGATGACTGCTTCCTTAGCTGTGCAGAAACATTTTAACTTGGTGTGATCTCATTTGTTCGTGTTTGCTTTGGTCTCCTGTCCTTATGGAATATTATTCAATTGACCAGACCAATGTCCTAGATAGTTTGTTCCAAGTTTTCTTTTAGTATTTTCACTGTTTGAGGTCTTAGACTTATGTCTTTTATACATTTTGATTTTACTTTTGTATATGGCAAGGGATAGGGGTCTAGTTTCATTCTTCTGCATATGAACACCCAGTTTTCCCAGCACCATTTATTGAAGAGACTGTCTTTTCCCCAATGTATGTATTTGGCACCTTTGTCAAACATCAGTCCACTGTAGGTATGTGGATTTGTTTCTAGGTTCTTTATATTGTGCTATTGGTCTATGTGTCTGTTTTTATGTCAGTACTATGCTGTTTTGGCTACTATAGCTCAGTAGTGTAATTTGAAGTCAGATAATGTAATTCTTTCAGTTTTATTCTTTTTGCTTAAAATAACTTTTGATATTCTGTGTTGGTTGCTTTTCTTTATATTCACATAAATTAGAGGATTGTTTTTTCTATTTCTGTAAAGACTGTCATGTGTATTTTGATAGGGATTGCAGTCAATCTGTAGAACACTTTGGGTAATAGGACATTTTAACAATGTTGATTCTTTTAATCCATGAACATGGAATATCTTTCCATTATTTTGGTACCCTCTTTAAATTCTTTTATAAGTGTTTTATAGTATTCATTGTAGAGATCTTTCACTTTTTTGGTTAAATTAATTCCTAAGATTGATTTTTATTTATGGTTATTGAAAATGGGATTACCTTTTTCATTCCTTTTTCAGATTGTTCCCCATTGACATATAGAAATGCTACTGTTATTTGTATGTTGATTCTGTACTCTACAGCTTTACTGAAATTGTTTATCAGTTCTAATCTTTTTTTTTATTTTTTTGAGTCTTTAGGTTTATCCAAATATAAGATCATATCATCTGTAAACAAGGATAATTGGACTTGTTTCCAATTTGGATGCCCTTTATTTCCTTCTCTTTTCTGATTCCTCTAGCTAGAACTTCCGGCACTATGTTGAATAACATCGGTTAAAGTGGGAATCCTTGTCATGTACCAGAGTTTAAAGGAAAAGCTTTCAGTTTTTCCCCATTCACTATGATATATATGCTGTGGGTTTGTGATACATGACTTTTATTATGTTGACGTATATAGTCCTTCTTTTGTTTTTAAGAAAGAATTTCACTCTGCTGGAGTGCAGTGGTGCAATGTTGGCTCACTGCAACCACCAGCTCCCAGGATCAAATGATCTTCCCACCTCAACCTCCAAAGTAGCTGAGACTACAGGCACGTGTCGCCATGCCCAGATAATTTTTTGTATGTTTTGTAGAGATGAGGTCTCACTATATTGCCGGGCTGCCTTGAATTCCTTGACTCAAGCAATCCTTCTGCCTTTGCCTTCCAAAGTGCTAGGATTACAGTCATGAGCCACCACACCTGGCCATGTTCCTTCTATACCTAGTTTTTTGAGGGTTTTTATTATGAGGGAATGTTGAATTTTATGAAATGCTTTTTCAGCATCAGTTGAAATGATCATATAGCTTTTTTACTTCATTCTGTTGATATGATGCATCGCACTGATTGATTTGCATATGTTGAGCCATCCTTGCATCCCAGGAATAAATCCCACTTTGTCATGATGAGTGATCTTTTTAATGTTCGACATACTTAGTTTGCTAGTATTTTGTTGAGGATTTTTGCAGCAATATTCACCAGAGCTACTGGCCTGTAGTTTTTTTGTTTTGTTTTGTTTTGTTTTTTGATGTGCCTTTTTCTTGTTTTTGTATCAGAGTAAAACTGACCTTGTACAGAGAGTATGCAAGTATTCATTCCTTGTCTATATTTTTTTCAATAGTTTGAGTAGAAGTGGTATTTGTTCTTCTTTAAACGCTTGTTAGAATTCAGCAATGAGGCCATCAGGTCCCACATTTTCTTTACAGGGAGACTTTTTATTACAGCTTTGATCTTGTTACTTGTTATTTGTCTGTTCAGATTTTGGATTTCTTCCTGGTTCAGGCTTCATAGGTTGTATGTATTTATGAATTTGTCTATTTATTTGGGGTTGAATCTTGGTAGGTTGTATTTGTCTAAAAATTTCTCCACTTCTTCTAGAATTTCCAACTTAATTGCTCATAGTAGCTACTAATGTTCCTTTGAATTCCCATGTTATCAATTATAACGTCTCATTTTTCATCTCTGAGATTATTTATTCAAATCTTCTCTCTTTGTCCCTCGTTAGTGTGGCTAAGGATTTGTCAATTTTATTTAACTTTTCAGAAAACCAACATTTAGTTTCATTGATCTTTTGTATTGTTTTCTTCATTTCAATTACATTTATTTCAACTCTATCTTTATTATTTATTTTCTTCTACTAATTTTCGGTTTGGTTTGCTCTTGCTTTTCTAGTTCCTTAAGATGAGTTGTTAGGTTTTTTACTGTAAGTTGTTCTCTTTTTAGATATATGTACTTATAGCTATAAACTATGTTCTTAACACTGCTTTTGCTGTATCCTATAGGTTTTGTTGTGTTGTATTTCCATTATCATTTGTTTCAATAAGTTTTTAAAATTTTCTTCTTTATTTTTTCATTGACCTACTTTATTCAGGAACATATTATTTTAGTTTTCACGTGATTTTAGTTTCCAAAATTCCTCCTGTTATTAATTTCTAGTTTTATTCCACTGTGTGGTCAGAGAAGATGCTTGATATTATATCAATTATTTTGTTTTGTCACCTAATGTATATTCTATCCTTGAGAATGATTCATGTGCTGAGAAGACTAATGTGTATTCTGTAGCCATTGGATAAAATGTTCTGTAAATATCCATTAGGTCCATTTGGTCTATAGTGCAGATTAAGTCCAATATTTCTTCGTTGAATATTTGTCTGGGAGATTTGTCTAATGCTGAAAGTGGAGTGTTGGATTCTTCAGCTATTATTGTATTGTGATCTAACTCTCTCTTTAGGTCTAATAATATTTGCTTTATAGATCTGGGTGCTGCACCGTTGGGTGCATATATATTTAAAATTGTTATAGCCTCTGCTGAATCGTCCTCTTTGTCATTATATAGTGACCTTGTCTTAAAATCTGTTTTGTCTGATATAACTACTCCCGTTCTCTTTGGTTTCCATTGGCTTGTAATATATTTTCCATTGCTTTATTTTCAGTTTATGTGTGTATCTGCAGATGAAATATGTTCTTGTAGGCAACAGAACATTGGGTCTTATCGTTTTGTCAATTAAGCCACCCTGTCACTTTTGCTTGTAGTGTTTAGTCCATTTACATTCAATGTAATTATTAAATAAGGACATTTATATATTTTCACCCTGACATCTTATCATTTGCCTTTGGGTTGTTTTGTGGTCTTCTTTTCCTTCTTTCTTTCCTTCCTGTCTTCCTTTTAGTGAAAGTAATTCTCTCTGGTGATAAGATTTAGTTATTTGTTTTTTATTTTTAGTATGTTTATTGTATATTTTTTGGTTTAAATTTACCATGAGGCTTGCAAAATCTATCTTATAACCTATTATTTTAAGCTGAAACAACCTAACACTGTTTACATAAACAAACAAGCAAAAAAAAAAACAAAAAAGAAAACTAATAAAAGCTCTATGCCTTAACTTTGTCCTCCAAGTTTTTTACTTTTTATTGTTTCTATTTATATCTTATTGTATTGTTTATGTCTTGAAAAGTGTTGTAGTTATTTTTATTGACTCATCTTTATGCTTTCTACATAAGAGGAGTAGTTTACATACAACAGCTACAGTGTTATAATATTCCATATTTTTCTGTGTACTTACTGTTACGAGTGAGTTTTGTACTTTCAGATGATGTCTTACAGCTCATTAATGTTCTGTTCTTTCTGATTGAACATTTAACATTGAACATTCCTTGTAGATAAGTCTGACTTTGACCAAGTCCCTCAGCTTTTGTTTGTCAGGGAAAGTCTTTTTATTTCTCCTTCAGTTTGAGGGATAACTTCACTGGATATATTATTCTGGGGTAAAAGTTTCTTTTTGTTTGTTTGTTTGTTTTTCTTTAGCACTTTAAATATATTATGACAGCCTGCTCCGGCCGCTGAAGTTTCCACTGAAAAGTCTGCTGCCAACATATTGGAGCTCTATTGTGTGTTACTTATTTCTCTTGTTTTGCTGTTTTTACAATTCTTTCTTTATATTTGACTTTTGGGAGTTTGATTATAGTCTTTTTTTGGTTAAATCTGATTGGTGTTCTATAACCCTTTTGCATGTGAATGTTAATAACTTTCTCTTAGTTTGAAAAATTCTTTGTTATTATCCCTTTAAATAAACTTACTGCCCCCTCTTCCCACACCTTATCTCTCTCTACCTTTGCTTAGAGGCCGCTCTTAAACTTGTCATTTGAGGCTATTTTCTAGATCCTGTAGGAATGCTTCATTCTTTTTTGTCTCCTCTGTTTGTGTGTTTTCAAATAGCCTGTCTTCAAGCTCAAGAAGCCGCTCTTCTGCTCGATCAATTCTACTATTAAAATACTCTGATGCATTCTTTAATATGTCAGTTGCATTTTTCACCTCCAAATTTCTGCTTTATTCTTATTATTTCAAAGTCTTTGTTAAATTTATAACAAAATTTTCAATTTATTTTCTGTGTTACATTGAATTTTTTTGAGTTTTCTCAAAATAGCTCTTTTCTCTATTAGAAATAGTATTCTCTGAATTATCTTTCTGAAAGGTCACATATCTCTGTTTCTCTATGATTGGTCCCTGATACTTTAGTTCATTTGGTAAGGTCATGTTTTCCTGGATGGTCTTGATACTCGGATGTTCATCTGTGTCTGGTCATTGAAGAGTTAGGTATTTATTGCAGTTTTTGCAGTCTGGGCTTGTCTGTACCCAACCTTCTTGAAAAGGTTTTCCAGATATTCAGACAGACTTGGGTGTTGTCATCTATGCTGCATCTGTTTTAGGGTGCACAACAGGTCAAGGAATTTTGTGGTTCTTACAGACTCATAGTAGTACCACCATGACAGTCTTATGCAAGATCTGGAAGAATTATCTGGCTTAGTAAAGACAAATTCTTGTTCTTCCCTTACTTTCACCCAAACAAGTGCAGAAGTGGAGTCTCTCTCTCTCTCTCTCCTAAGTAATGTGGAGCTGGAGGTCGAGTAACAAAGCAACCCTGTGGTCACTACCACAACGATTGTGCTGGGTGTGACCTAAAGCAAGCATAGCTCTATGTCTCACCCAATGTCTGCTGTAGGCACTCCCTGGCTACTGCTTATGGTTGCTTAAGGCCCTGGGGTTCTACAATCACCAGATAGCAAAGCCAGCCAGGCCTGTACCATTTTCTTCAGGGTGGTGAGATTCCCCAGGCCCCTGGTGGGCCCAGAGGTGCTAACTGGGAGCCAAGGACTAGAGTCAAAACGCTTAGAAGTCTATCTGGTATTCTATTGTATTGTGGCTGAGCTGGCACTCAAACCACAAGACACAGTTCTTCTCACTCTTTCCTTCCATTTCCACAGGCAGAGGAGCCTCACTCCATAGCCCCTGCCACCACAGGTGACAGCAAGTACTGCCAGACTACCGCTGATGTTCCCTAAAGGCCCAACATCTCTTAAGTCAGCTTGTGGTGAATGCTACCTGGCCTGGGACTCACCCTTCAGGAAGCCGGGCTCCCATCTGGCCCAGAGCAGGTCAGAGATGCTGCCCAAGAGCCGAGTCCTGGAACTGGGGACCCCAAGAGCCTGGCTGATGCTCTATCCCCTGTGACTGAGCAGGTACTTAAGGTGCAAGACAAAGTCCTCTTTACTTTTTCCTCTGCTTTTGTCAAAAAGAAAAATTCATGCTGCATAGCTACCACAACTGTCAATGTTCTGATTCTCATCTGAAGCCAGGAAGTCTCACCCAAGGCCCATGACATACTTCCTGAGTATCACTGTTGGTTTTTCAGGGCCTCAGAGCTCTTTAGTTAGCAGGTGATGAATCCTCCTGCGACTGCGTTCTCCTTTCAAGGCAGTGGGTTTCTTTCTAACCCAGAATGTGTTGAGAAATGTCTAGGAGCTAGGGCCTGGAAAGGGGGCTTTATGACTTTGGATTGTGTCCTATCCTGCTGTGGCTGAGCTGATACCCAAGATGCAAAACAAAGTCCTCCCCATTTTCCTCTCTTCTCTCCACAAGTAGAAGGAAGGGGTCTCTTTTAGAGCCATTAACTGTGCAGCTTGGGATAGGGGAGGGATGATGACAGCAGTCCCTTTGCCATTCTGCCTGTTATCTCAGTAGGTCGCATGCTCCCCCAGTCCACTGGCTCTGGAAACGGTTCATCACTAGGATTGCATAGCAGCTGTAGCCCTTGTGGCCTAGACTGCCTTTTAAGTTTATTTATAGCCCCAGAGCATTTTAGCCCTCCATAGAGAAGCGTGTTGGAACTCAAGTTAAAACAGCTAGGATCGGTGATTCCCCTCTGGTTAGGTCTAGTTTAAAAGCTCCCTCTGTGGTGGGCTTCAGCTGAGTTTGTTCTTTTATTTTTACTTTCTGCTATAACAGGGCAGCACTGAGTTCAGTGCATCCAAATTTCTGTGCTCTCCCCTTCCGAGTAGACAGAATTGCTCTCCATACCACGCCACTACTTCCTGGGGATGGGGGGCAGGGTGGCATCGGCAATTCAAGACTGTTTCTCCTAATTCTTCAGTGTCTCTTTCAATGATATACAGTTAAAAGCAGATAGAGTGAGTAATCACCTGATTTTTGGTCCTTATAAAGTTGTTTTTACTCTAGATGCTTGTTAAATTGGTGTCCTTGAGGTGGGGGCATGGGGGGCAGGTGGTGTGATCAGTGGATCCTTATAGTCTGCCTTGTTGCTCTATCCCTCTTTGCTCTACTTTCCCTTTTTTTGAGACAGGGTCTCACTCTGTCACCCAGGCTGGACTGTAATGGCATGATCATGGCTCACTGCAGCCTCTGCCTTCCAGGATCAAGTGATCCTCCCACCTCATCCTCCCAAGTAGCTGGGACTATAGCAACATGCCACCACATCTGGCTAATTGTTGTATTATTTTGTAGAAATGGGGTTTCACCATTTGTTCAGACTGGTTTTGAACTGGGCTTAAGCAATCTGTCTATCTTGGCCTCCCAAAATGGTGGGATTACAGGTGTGAGCCACCATTCCACACCTTCTCTTAGCCTGCTTTTGCTTACTTAGGAATTCAGTTACTTTCTGTTTTCCAACTTAATGCAGGAAATTATACCATTGATCTTAAGCACTTATTCTTCATAATCTAAGTGCTTAAAGCCTCAAATTTTTCACTAGGTGCTACCTTACCTGCCTCCCATACATTTTGGTATGTTGTGATTTTTTTATTATGCAGCTCAAAAATATTTTCAACTTACCTTTTGATTTTTCTTTGCCTCATTAGTTATTTATATGGTGTTGGTTAATTTATAGATAGTTGAGTATTTTCTAGATAGGTTGATAATGATTTTTAACCAATTCCTTTGTGGTCAGAGAATATGTGAAGCAAGATTTCAAGCTTTTGACATTTAATGAGACTTATTTTATGGCCCGCATATCATCTATCTTACTGAATGTTTCATGTGCACTAGAATGCACTATTGTGGAATACATGTAATTCTGCAGTTTTTGGGTATAGGTTGTATAAATATCAAATAAGTTGATGTAATTAATAATGTCATTCCAGTTTATATCCTCAGTGTTTTTCTTTGGGCTAGTTTTATATAAAATACTAGAAAGAGAGTACTAAGATATCTAACTGTGGATTTGTCTCTTTTTCCCTTTATTTTTATTTTTCTTCATTTATTTTAAATCTCTAAGGCACACCTTTAAGTGCATATATATGTGTCTATATATATAAAGTGTTTTTAAAATATGCATATATATTTAAAGTTTCCCTTTAGATATAATATAGTTGGCTCTTGTATATTTCACTCCATCTGACAATTTGGCTTTTTAGTTGATATATTTATTCTATTTATATTTAATGCAACTCTTGATATGATTGAATTCAGGTCTACCATACTATTATTTGTTTCACTTTGTTCAATATGTTTGTGTTCCTGCTTCTTTAGTTTAATAAAGTGAATTTGTATTTGTTTTGGGTTTTTTTTTTAAGATAGAGTCTCACTTTGTCTCCCAGGCTGGAGTGCAGTGGCACAATCTTGGTTCACTAAAACTTCTGCCTCCCGGGTTCAAGTGATTCTTGTGCCTCAGCCTCCTGAGTAGCTGGGATTACAGAAGCGTAACACCACACCCGGATAATTTTTGTATATTAGTAGATATGGGTTTCACCATGTTGGTCAGGTCAGTCTTGAACTCCTGACGCCAAGCAACCCACCAGCCTCAGCCTCCCAAAGTTCTGGGATAACAGGTTTAAGCGACCACAGCCAGCGAAAAAGTGAATTGGTTTTAAGCTTCAATTTCTTTGCCTTGTTCCATATACTTCTTTGTGTTATGTTTTTAGCAATTGATAGAAATGACTAAAGTGTATAAGTTACAAAGTAACTCAATTGCAAATGTTAAGTATGCATTCTGAACTTCTCATAGTCTTTGTTGAGTAAATATTGTACTGTTCCACCTAAATATAAGATCATTATAGCATTATAATTACATTTCTCCTCGGCCTTTTGTGCTAATAGTATTCTATTAACTGTATCTTAAAATGCTACTTTAAAATGTTATAATTTTCTATTAAAAATTCATTTTAAGAAGTTAATAAGAATATGAGAATTCTTTTACATTCACCTGCCCATGTGCCTTGCCAATGCTCTTACTGTAGATGTAAACTTTCATCTGATGTAATTTTACCTCAGCGTGAATACATTCCTGTAGTAATTTATGTAGCACAGTTCTGCTTGCGAAGAATTCTCAGCATTCATTCACCATAGCATGTCTTTAATTCACCCTATTTTTTTTTTTTTTTTTTGAGAAGGAGTCTCCCTCTGTTGCCAGGCTGGAGTGCAGTGGCATGATCTCGACTCGCTGCAACCTCCGCCTCCTGGGTTCACGCGATTCTCCTGCCTCAGCCTCCCGAGTAGCTGGGACTACAGGCACAAGCCACCATACCCAGCTAATTTTTGTATTTTTAGTAAAGACGGGGTTTCACCATGTTGGCCAGGATGGTCTCGATCTCTTGACTTTGTGATCTGCGTGCCTCAGCCTCCCAAAGTGCTAGGATTACAGATGTGACCCACCATGCCCGGCCAATTCATCCTAATTTTTACAAGATATTTTTATGCACTATAGATTTCTGGGTTGATATTTTTTTGTTCCAGCACTGGAAAAAAAAAGGAATCAAGACAGAACACAGAGGAATAAAAACTTTTAAAAGTAGAAAATATTAACACCAAAAACAAGGTGGTTCTCCCAAAAGATAGAGACAGAGAATGATAGATGATGATGACAGATGGAGAGACAGATATAGCAAGATATATGAGACAAAATGGGAGCAGAAATAATCAGAAAAAAAGAAAATAATTATACATATGTTAACTATATAAATACATATATGCAAATATTCATATGTTAATATATGTTTAATAATCAGAATACTATGAAAAATTCTATACCAATAAATTTGGAAATCTAGATCAAATTAACTGGAAAAGGTAAAAATTTAACTTAGCTAAAAAATAAAGTACTTAAAAAGAGCAATAACTATTAAATAATTTGCAGTGGTAGTTCAAGGCAATGCTCTCTCACTAAAGAAGTCTGAATGATGATTTATGTAGTAATTTCAAGGAATAAATAATTCCTAATTTATATGAATTTTTCTAGAAACAGAAAAAGTCTTAATGTACTTTTTTAATAAAGTTATTATTGATTCCAAAGCTACATCATGAAACATAATAAAAAGCTAATTACAGACACAACAGTGTAAAAGCAAAACTCTGAGAAACACACTAGCTGAAAAATTCAAAATGGGATTATTAAATGTGCATCATGATTAGATAAGTTTAATCATCAGAGTGGTTCCACTTTAAAGTACTTAAAGAGAAAAATAATATGATTGATGCAGACAATCTTTAAGTACAACACTCATTTACTTATGTGCATATTTAATATATGATGAAATTTGTTAATTTATTCAGGAAACACTTAGTAAACTAAGAATAGAAGGCAATTTCCTTAAGTTGATGAGGGCTATGTACCAAAAACCTATAGCAAAAATTATATAGGTAGATACTATATACACTCTCATTAATAGAAAATATAACAATGCCCAATCTCAGCACTATTTTACATAATAATGGAGAGCCTGGCTAACATTATAAGGGGAAAAAAATAACAAGAATGGGCGTAACATTTGGAAAGGAAGAAATAGATTGTTATTATTTGCCAGAGACATAACCATCTACCTGGAAAAAAGTAACCAAGTGAACAAATTAAGCAATTAAGATTTCAGCAACTTGACTGATACGTGGTAAGATAAAAGAAATCAATAGCATATTTTTACATTTACAATAACTTGCTGGAAAATATAGTCAATATATATAGTAATCAACATATATTAGGTTGGTGCCAAAGTAATTGTGGTTTTTGCCATTAAAGGTAACAAACTTACTATAAAATTTATGTAAATATATTGTCACGAATAACCAAATCAACCCTGAAAATAAGAGCCCTGATCTCCATCCCTGCATATATGAAGACATATTACAAAGATACTGTTACAACTGGGTGAAGAACTCAAAGCAGATCTATGAATGTAAAAAAAAATCAAAACATATTTTGATGAAGTTAGTTCCAAACATTAATGAGAAAAAGAAAGATTATTTAGTACATGGTGTTGGGAAAACTGCCTTACTTTAGAGAAAAACATAAACATAGATTTCTACTAATACTTTGGGGAAGGAATCCATGGGTATTATAAGACCCAAATACTAAAGGTAACAACTATGAAGTTAAGAGAAAAAAAATGAGACAATAACTTTGATACAAAAGAGTGGCAAAGGATTTCTTAAACAAAACTTTAACATCATAGACTGTAAGACAAAAGCAAGCAAAATTTATGTCATCAAATTTGAAAGAAAAATACAATAAAAGAATCCATAAAGAAGTGATGATAATTTGAGAAAAAAAAAGTATGTGAACAATCGGCTAATAGATGAAATATACAAGAAATCCATTCAAACCGCTTTTTTTTGAAATGGAGTCTGTCTTTGTCACCCAGGCTGGGGTGCAGTGGTGCAAACTCGGCTCACTGCAACCTCTGCCTCCTGGGTTCCAGTGATTCTCCTGCCTCAGCCTCCCCAGTAGCTGGAATTACAGGTACATGTTGCCATGACCAGTTAATTTTTTGTATTTTAGTAGAGACAGGGTTTCACTGTGTTGCCCAGGCTGGTCCCGAACTCCTGAGTTCAGGCAATCAGCCTGCCTCGGCCTCCTAAAGTGTTGGGATTACAGGCGTGAGCCACTGCACCTGGCCTCAAACCACTTTTTAAAAATTCTAGTGGAAAAATAAACAAAAGCAGTAAGTAAACAATGTATAGAAGAGAAACAGTAAAATGCTATCAAGGATATGAACACAGGCTCGTACTCAAGAAATTAGAATAATAAAAATTAAACTAACAATAAAATACTAGTTTATACTATTAATCAGACAAAATTAGAAAGCTGCACATCACCAAATTTTGATAAATTGTGGAATTGTGAGTCATCTTTTTGCTGTACTAAATTTCTGGAAATCAGTGTTGGACTCTTTAATCAAACCACCACATCCACACCCAATATTCATAAGGATGTTTCTTTTGGTATTGTTTGTGGTGGCAGCAATTTGAAATAAATCTGAATATCTTTCATTAGAGAAGATTTGGACAAAATGTGGTAGATGACTACCATGACTCCCAATGTGGTAGATGACTAGTTAGAAATAATAGACTCAACGTACGCGCACACACACACACACACACACACATACACAATGGATAGGTTTAAAATACACAATGATAATTAAAAAAAACAAAGTGATATGTGACTTACAAATATTTGTGTAAATTAAAAAGATATATATGAATGACACTGCAAATTTTTCCTCTGAATCTGTTCTTCCCTTCTTTAACAGTAACAGACTGAAGCTGAGATGTGATCACTTGCCTAGGAAAATATTTCCCAGGCCTTAAGGTACTGGATGTGGCCATTTTACCAAGTTCTTGATGGTGGATTCTGAGTGATTATACTTGTGCTCTCTCTGGGTTGAGGCCCTTAAGCAGTTGGCTGACTCTCCCATACTAGCCTTCCATAACTTTTTTCTCTTTCCTATCAGCTGCAGCCGGCTACAGGTATAAAAAGTACGTCTCTGAAGGAAATGACCCAGGAACAAGGTGGAAGAAACCCAGGTTCCTAAGTCACTACTCAAAAACCTGGAACAACCCCAGACTACAATATGAGAGAGAAAAATAAACCTCTGTCTGGTTTGAGATATTGCATTTTTGTTGTTTTGTTTTGTTGTTCTGTTTGTTTGTTCTTTGGTGTTGTTTAACCTCATGTACAAATGTATAAATAAGCAAATACACATATTAAGGCATATATATAAGATATATAGTAAAGTTATTCAGATAGCTGTTGGCTGCTTTCGACAGAGCAAAAAAGGAATGAGAAAAACAGGGAATATTGTTGATACACACACACACACAGACATTCTTAAGAGCTGTTCATTGTTTAGATGAATGCTGGCTATGTGGTATTATATATGCATACTTTAAACCCAAAGCTCTGCAACTGAGGAAAAAAAAACGATGAAAAAGAGAAAGGAAAGAAGGAATAAAAACTATAAATGACAGCTATTTTCTTCTTAAGAAAAACCTTTATGCTGTATTGTGTAATGCTAGACTTGGAGTCAATAGATTGTAATTAATGTGCATAGCAGTAAAGATCACTACAAGAAAAATAAATACATTTCAAAAGTGTTGAAAGGACAAAAGAGCAGGAACACTTACAAGAATTGTGTTGGTTAACTTGGCAGTGGCTGCAGATTCCAATGTGTTTCACAAGTGTCTAGTGCCTGAGCATCCTATCTGTAGACAGTATTCCATTGTACCATATACTCTAGGCGAGGCTAAATTGCTTTCTTTTTTTACATCCAACCAAGAAATTTTGTTCAGAAGCCACATTCTTCATCACTGACCTTTCAGTAACTTTCTATTTATTGGTTCTAATCAAAGCATTTTCAGTTGATGATTTGGTGTTTTTTAGGAAAGAATTATTGTTGAATTTTTTTCTCCAGTGATTAGGACTATTTGTTAAATATAAATTATTGTTGATTAATTGGGAAGAATATAAACATGTCTACTTAACTTTTCATCAAAGTTTTAAACATGTTAACTGAAAATTCATTTACCAGCATTTTCAGGACCTTTCCTTTGAGCATGGATCTGCTGCTTTGAATTCTGTGTAGTCATTCTTCCACAAACTTCATCCCTAATTCTAGCTCTGTATTCCAGTGCTGTTTCCTTTAATGGGTAGGGAGATTTGTGAGGCCAAATTTGAATGGCAAATCTTTCCTGATAATAAATTCATCTACTTTTTTTCAATTACCTCGTCTATGTGTATCTTAGCAGCTTTTTTTTTAAAGTAATGACCTTTTTAAAGTCTTTTAAAATCATTTACTATAACATTCAGAGTAACAAGTCTCTATTTTTCAACTATCTTTCATTGTTTTACATATTTGAACAATGTTATGACAATAATAAGAAGAACTGAAATAAACAGACTTGTATACAAATTCAACTAGCACTTGGTAAGCGTAACCAACTGATGAGACCTGAGGAGTAGCAGGGTCTAAGAGGAACCAGTTACTATTCATGGCCATTAATTGTGCCTTGGCTACCAGTAATTGTATTTGTGTTTATAATAATCTATACTAGTTTTTAAAAGTAATTAAATAAGAAGACAATGGTAGAATATCAGTTAACATGATAAATTGTTTCAAGAGAAAAGGTCTTAAAATTTTTTCACTGAGTCAGTAATAATCAAACTGCTATGGTTTGGGTATGGTTTGTCTGTTGCCACCAAGCTTATGTTGAAATTTGATCCCCAGTGTGGCAGTGTTGGGAGTTAAAGCCTACTGAGAGATGTTTGCATTATGGGGGCAAATCCCTTGCGAATGGTTCTGTGCTGTTCTCATAGCAATGAGTTCTTGCTCTCACAAAACTGGATTGGTTCTTTTGAGAATGAATTAGTTCCCACAAGCGTAGGTCATGATAAAGCTAGGGTTTTCTTCTTTTCACACATGTCCACTTCTGCTTTGACTTTCTTTGCCACGTGACACAGCACAAAAGCCCTTGCCAGAAGCCAGGACCATGCCCTTGAACTTCTCACTTGCAGATGCATGAACTAAACTTCTTTTCTTTACGAATTACTCTGTTAGAGGATTCTTTGGTAGTAAAACAAAATGGACTAAAACACAAACAAATTACCCACACTAATTTTAAAATTTGTCCAGAAGAAAATATATTTTTGGTAGCTAAATTTCATCATTACCTTATAACATATGCACATTTCTTTGAAAAAGTCACAATTATATAATCATTCTATACATACATTATAAATCTTTGAAAATGTATTTTAAATGACCAATTGTTAACTATGTAATGGCCTGGCTCCCAATTGGTGATTTAATAATTGGTGATTCTACTTATCAAAATTCAGAACAGGTTTTCTTCATTGTTGAAAACTGAAAAGATGTCTGATTTGAAAAACTGTAAACTGATTAATGCATTTCAATTTTTTTATTTTCCTTATTTTATTTAATATTTTATTTATTCATATAAGCTGATAATATGCAAGAAGTGTACATACATGTATGAAATAATACAATTTCCTTTTATGTAACACTAAGAATCCCAACTCCAACCCTGTTTTCTTATTTCTGTGAGAGAAGCCACACACTGTTAAGTGATGTTGGATCTTGTACCTGATCTCTTGTGAAAGGTGGCTTTGTAGTCCATCCCAGCTTTCTGGATGTTCTTTTTAACAAGCTTTTTAAATCTCTCTCTTTATGCCCAGAGGCATAATGAACTCTATAATTGAGTATATTATATTTAGTCTTAAAATGTCTTTCAAGATTATAAATGCTCATTTTAGCAGTATAATAAAACTCTTTGTGTTACAAATAAATAAATGCTATAGTTTTTACAAAACTACATCACAACTCGTATTCAAGTAGAATGTCCTTTATATAATGTCAAGAACGATCTAGTATTTAGCCTTTTTTCTCTCCTTATATCTAAATTTCAGCCTACAATCTATTCCTGTCTCATTTATTACCCCTAACTCCCACTTTAGCCCAACATTACTAATCAAAATAATTATTTTATAAATGTAGATTTGTGAAATATATACATTTTGATTTTTTAATTATTAATCATTTGGTTGCAGTTTATTTTTAATGAGATTGTTGCAGGTAAGAGAATTTGGTAATGACTAAAATTATGAAAGGATAAGTGGAATTACTATTAACAATTAGTTTTATTAAGAAGTCATTGAAATTTTTTTTCTTTCTTTCTTTCCTTCTTTTTTGTTTTTTTTTTTTTTTTTTTTTTTTTTTGAGATGGAGTCTCTCTCTGTTGCCCAGGCTGGAGTGCAGTGGCACCAACCTGGCTCACTGCAACCTCCACCTCCTGGAGTCAAGCAATTCTCCTGTCTCAGCCTCCCAAGGAGCTGGGACTACAGGCGCATGCCACCACACCCAGCTAATTTTTGTATTTTGGGTAGAAACAGGGTTTCACCATATTGGTGAGCCTGGTCTCGAACTCCTGACCTCAGGTGATCCACCCGCCTCAGCCTCCCAAAGTACCGGGATTACAGGTGTGAGCCACTGCGCCCGACCAGAAGTTCTTGAAATTTCTAAGTGGATCTGACAAACATCATGAGAACGGTAAGGAGAATGATACTTTGCATAGGTTAGTTGGGATTACAGTAGAAGTCCCCTCTGTATTATCAGCCTCACTGATAAATATAAAAGTAAATTGTGCAATAGAATCACAATGACACCTTTCAATTTATTTGTATTCACATTTTGTCAATATATGCTTGTATTCTTATTTGCATACTAAATATAATACTAGACTATTAATATATACTATGTCAGCATGTCAAATAATTGTGATAAATTACTTCCTAAATGATTGCTAGTTGATTGAAATTCATAGAAATATCTCATGATAGGTAATTAATACCTCAAATGACCAATAATATTTACACAACTAAATCACATTTCTAACTTTTGAGTGCTTTCTTTGTGCTAGTTACTATGCTGAGTGGTTAATATTTTATGTAGGAATATAAAATATGAGAAGAAAATAAGAATAGGATGATCAATATATCATTAAGAAATTGGATTACTTGTTTAGACTTTTATATAATTTGTCAATTTACTGCTAGCCAACTCAAAGTTATACAGCAAAAAAACGGGAAAAACTTAGATAAAATTCAAAGAAAATTCCACAACTCATTTATTTTATGATTCATTTATATCTGTTTAAGTTTTTTCAATAAATAGAAAAATTAATTGATTTCTTTTTATAATTTGGCCCTTCATTTCATGAACTTGGAGACCTTTGTTTCAACCTTGACATTAGCACTTCTTAGCTAGAACACATCGGTCTTTATGCTTAGAGTACCCAGATTCTTAATCTATCAAGTAGAGTTAACAATACCTATCTAACTTCTTTGTAAAATGTTTATGAGGATTAAATGTGGCAACAAAAAGAAGCACATTTATTGAATTATAAAATGTCATATGAATTTATGTTATTGATCAAATGGGAATGTGATAAGATATTATTTGATAGAAGATGAAAAGGCTAGATCCAAATATTCTTTGAACAATTAGTAACCAGATATGCAAAAATTGTCTGCAATCTTCCATGTAAATTGAGTTACTAAAAGTAGAAAACCAATTTTAAGCTTTTAGAAAATAGGCTTTCATTTTGTGCCAGAGTAAATTCAACTAATAAATTAGTAGGACTTTTGCCCTCTTTCTAGATTCCTTTTATGCTGGTTCATGAAGATATACTCAGTCATCCAACACCTCTTTAGTTTGTAGCTATAATAATCTATGCCTGCATATTAATTTTAAGATAATGAAATAAGTGTTAAACACAAGAAACAAATATATACCATTATAGAATTTTAGTTAATTATTTAAAATAATAATTTAAATAAGAATTTCCTTTTATGTTGCAAACAAATAAAATGCTTTTACATTTTTTAAACTGTCTTTTATTTTAGGAAGAAATCTTGTATTACATACTTATCACTGTCATCTTCCCATTGAGGTCCCATTAATATTAAAAGGAGTTCAGTTCAATACATTAACATCTCAGTGAGAATCTGTCTCGTTATAATTATCACTGACCTTGTCAATTTAAAATTTTAGCCTGAGTCAAAATTAAATCTCAGCTATTAGAAACAAAGTAAAAGCAAAATGAAAGGCAGATTATTCCTAATTAAAGGCATAAGAAGAAATCAATATGTTAACTGTGGAACTTGTATGTAAACATTACATGTATGTAGGGATGCATATATATATATATATGTGTGTGTGTGTATATATACCCCTTCAGAATATTGAAATGGTGTATACCACTTTCAGTTATCTTATATTTAAATTTATCTTAATAACATGTTTCATAATTATCTACAGAGCTTTTAAAATTAGAGATACAATGGTAACTCCTAGAAATTCTGATTCAGTGAGTATGAGTGAATCTCATGCCTGTTTGTTATTTAAAAATGACACTAATAGTTCTGATTCACCCTCAGGGTTAAGAACCTCTGTTATGTGTTATAGAGGATTTAAGTACATCCACTTTAATCTATGAATTTGAACCCTAAATCCAGTTGCAGTTTCAATAATTCTCTCTAATTGCACTCAGAATTGTTATTTTGGCAAGACTTTGGGGACACATATATTCCATCAGCACACAAATCTTGCATTGACCTCAATGACATTTAATAAAGCTACAATTTCCAACCATTGCTCCTAGACCAGATAAATAAAGTCTTGCAGAAAAGCTGCTGCAAAGCTATCTACTGACATTGACAATTTAACTGAATTCCAGGTTTTAGAAACAAGTAGAGTTCAGCAATTTTTTTTTACATTTCACCTAAATGATAAATGTTAACAGATTTCATTTTTATACCTATGCTTAATTATTTGTTTCAGCTTCAGGGGTCTTTACAAGGGAGTGAAAGACTGTGGAAAGAAATAGCAGAGAAGAGGAGAGAGAGGGGGGCAATGGGGAAGAAGAGGAGAGAGAAAGGACAGAGAGGTGATTCTGTCAGGTGCACTGCTTTTTGTCTGACGGCCTCAATTGTTTTTAAACTAAATCTTTTCAAGCACTCCAATATGTAAAGCAGATCAAAAGAGAGCTACTCTTGTATGTTATGGGGGATGGGGGTGAGAGGTAGTGTACAGGAACCCATTAGGTTCCTTGTTCACATTTAAGAACAAAGAGCCTTCAGAAATAATTTGAAAAGCCTTTGACTTCAGAATTAAGGAAACCTATTCTCAAATCTTGGCTTCAGTTATTCGATAGTGTATAATTTCTATCAGTTTTCTAAAGAATTGCTTTGACTCAGTTTCCATATTTATAAAATTCTTGCTTTAAGACCCAATTTTCAGCATTTTTGTAAGTAGACATAGTATATACAAAGTTTGTAGCTTATGGTAGATTCTCAATAAATAGTAGCTATCATTATTATTATCACTAATAGGGTAAGACATACAATAAATATCTTTTAGTACATGACCTCTATGAGTAAATAGCTTTTGCTATTAATGTCTGAGCCTTATGCCATTTATTATGTCCAGTAAGCCATTATTTTTGTACTTCCTTGTCTTCAGGTCTATGTGTATGGAAGGGTATTTTTTATAAATAACATTTCAAACATGTTGAGTTTCTAGCCACCAACCAGAAATGCAGCTAAATCTTACTAGTCTGGAAAAAAATTGATTCATTTCCCGAAAGTTCTCCTTAAACAAGATCTTACCATGAGTGAGTGTCTATAGTCACTTACATTTTTTGACTCTATATTTTCCTATTAACATATAATATAACGGGAATAACATAAAATACAGTTTAGTTTTTAGCTGTATTCCTTCATTTACCTGAGCAGTATCAGTTACAGTAGATGTTGCTATTTGCTGTGGGGTTTCAATCTAACATTTACTGTTCCTTTCTGATTATAAAGATGTAGCATTTAGAAATATAGAAAACTATTTTACAAATCTCGATCTTTAAGGCAAATTTCTAGGGGTGTAAATCTCTGAGAGAAAAAGATATTAAGTTTTTAAAACCTCTAGTAGATTATGGCAATTTGCTTTCTAGAAAGATTATGCCAATGTATGCCTTATTATCATTTTATAAAAGTGATTGCCTACTCCTAGTTGATTGAAAAAATAATTTGTGTTAATATTCAAATATTGGAGAATATTTTCTCATCTGTACATAGGTCACTTAGATTTATTTTTCTGTGCATTGTTCATTCATGTCTTTTGTATTTTGTCCATGAATACTATTGTATTCTTGGTAATGTATGGACCACATTACAATTGATTATTGTCCCCTTGTCATATTTGGTGCAAATATTCTATTTAAGTGGTCAGTTGCCTTTTAAATGCATTATTTTTCCAAGACAGAAAATGTTTATAATTAAGGCTCCTAAGTAAATTGTAAAGGAGGTAAAATTTCCTTACTGTCTCTTACTTGTCTCCAAATATGTCACTTTACCAGGATTGTACTATAACATAATTAAATTTAACATTGTACTTAGGTTCTTTCCTGCATTTGGCTGTCAGTGAAGCGGAAGCAGTTGTTTTCTGCAATAAAAGAGGGGCCACATTTCCCACTTTGTACATGATTTATTTTGTTCCTCATATTCATCACATCTAGATTAATTAAATATTCATTTGTAGCTTATACATATTTATAAATATTTTCATAATTAACACATATCCATAATGCTTCAGATCATATAAAGGATTAGTCTGAGGTTCTTCAAAAATCTTTCTTCAATTTTCCATATACTATTTCTAAATAATCTATTTTTATGCTTTATGGTTTATTGAAGATGATAGATAGAATGATAGATAAGGATGGAGACATTTCTTCCTTTACTAAAAAAATGGAGATTCAAGAGTAAAAGGGCATTTGGCAACAATGTAATGGAGTGCTTACTAACATGGTCATTTCAATATGTATCTCTGTGTAACTCAAGAGATTTTGTTTAAACAGATTCTAATGAGAAACGATAAAATAAATTTATTGCATTAATAAAAAATAGCGACTTTATGGAGGAGGCTGTTTACCCAATTTTAAGTAAGGTAATCTCACATTTGTTTTGCCTAGAGCAGTAACATTTTACATATGTTGTTTCACTCTCAAATTACAGGCTTTGGAGGATAAGCTTGTGGTCACCCAATGATAATGCATTTGTGACCATTAAAAAAATTAATATTGGTTAAAACACAGTGAAAGACAAACCCAAATGGGAGAACTCATACACACCCTGAATAATGAGACTTGAAATTAAAACTAAAGAACCTCTTTCATACCCTTATTCTAGAGAATCTTGGATAGTAATAGGCATTATAGATTGTCCTAGAAGGCTGGGCACAGTGGCTCATGCCTGTAATCCCAGCACTTTGGGAGGTGGGCGGATCATGGGGTCAAGAGATCAAGACCATCCTCGCCAACATGGTGAAATCCCGTCTCTACTAAAAATACAGAAATTAGCTGGGCATGGTGGTGCATGGCTGTAGTACCAGCTACTCAGGAGGCTGAAGCAGGAGAATCGCGTTAATCCGGGAGGTGGAAGTTGCAGTGAGCCAAGATCGTGCCACTGCACTCCAGCCTGGCAACAGAGTGAGACTAAGTCTAAAAAAAAAAAGAAAAAGAAAAAAGAAAAAAAAAGAAAGATTGTCCTGGTAAAGTCTCCTGGGTGTTATGCAGATAGAGTGAATCAAACCTTAGAAATATAATAACATAATACATAAGAAATCTAGAAAGTAAGAACTTGACTTTATTGGGGTTTCTTGCAGTGGAGTAAAATTTGCAAGGAGCAATTGAAGAAGTGAGGTGTGCTGGAGGAACTGTATGTTTAGTAATTGAGTTTAAGCCCATAACAATAATCTTTATTTCACTTAAGTATTTTCCTTTTGAACTCTGAAAAATACATAGTACAGATTTAATTGTTCATCCCATTTATAAACAATTATCACAGCTAATATTTAAAAGAAATTTGTGTGCATTGTACAGTCAAGTGTGGAGTCTGGAGGAGCAGGAAACAACATTTCATCAAGGGAGATCCATTCTATTTAGATATAGCAGCATATGGAGTAGCAGATCAGACGGATCAAGGAGTTTTACTTGTGGTAATGTCATAATATAACATAAGGTGTGACAAAATAAATTCCTAGACAATCAACTGCCACATTTGAATTATTATAATAAAAAAATGAGGGCCATGATCAAGTAGTTGGAACTGAATATACCTTTCTGGTTGAAACAACAAAATGAAGTCGCCATAGGAGTCATCATCAGGCAACAAAGGAGAGTGCTACCTGACTGATACAGAAAACAAATAAAATAAGCCTTATTATTGGCTTAGCTTACTACTTTAAGAAGTTTTGTAGTTGCACAGGAAGAGGGGAATTCAGAAAAAACCCAGTGGTTTCTGAGTTGAGGAGACAGAGGTTGAATTCGGAGGAGGCTCATGTGGCTAGAGTTCATAGAACCGAGTACAAGAGAAGTGAGGGCTGTATATAGAAAGAACTCAAGATCTGTGAAGCACTCCCCTATAATATTCAACTAAGTACTGATCAGCACTTTTTTGAGACATGTATGAGGGGGAAACTGCCCAGGGCCAGGGAAAGAAGCACAGAAAGTTTGGAGGAAACGTTCCTGGAACTCACACATGACCAGAAAATTTTTCTTGTTCCCCCAAAGCAGATGGCATCCTCAGGGTTTATGAAGCAATGGGTAGAGCCCACAGAAGTGTCTTGCCTTAGTAGTAGAGAATAATTAGCTCTCAGTTCAGCACAACTATGGTCTTCTATATCAAATCTGAAAAGCAGGACCCTAAAGGATCAAACTGTATTCTTACTGAATACACAAATATCCAGCATTCAACAAGTTAAAATTTACAGTGTCTGCCATGCAATAAAAACTTGACAGGCAAGCAAAGAAGGAGAAAAATGTACCCTATAATGGGAGAGATTAACCAGTCAATCAAAACAAACACAGAGCTGATATAGATGTTAGAATAGAAGTAGCAGACAAAGGAATTAAAATAGTCATTATAAGTGTTATATGTATTGAGAATTGAAGTAGATAATTGGGTGTTAGAGCCCCAAACTGAACATTTAAAGATGAAAACTACAATGTGTCAGATAAAAAATATATGAGATTGTGTTAACTGCCAATTAGATATTGCAGAAGAAAAGAATAGTGAACTTGAAGATATAAAAATAGACACTATCTAAAAGTGAAACAGAAAGAGAAAGGAGAATGTTTTTAAGAGAGAATAGATCATCAATAAATTGTGGTACAACTTCAAGCAATCTATTAATAATACATGTGTAACTGAGGTAACAAGAAGAGAAGAGAGATCATCTAGGCTACAAACACATATAGTATGTTACTATACTGAATACTGTAGGCAAACATAATGCAATGGTTAGTATTTGTGTATCTAAATATATCTAAACATAGTAAAAGTAATATGTTCTGTCATGACATTACCACCACATTACTAAGCAAGATAAATTTTTCAGCTCTATTATAATCTTATGAGACCACCATTGCATATGCAGTCTGTTGTGAACCACACGTCATTATGTGGTATGTGACTGTGTTTAGACATCTTTAAGAGATAGTACTTAAATAAAAATCAAAATGTAGTGTAAAGTTTTATAGCTAAAAGATTTGACAACACCATCTTTTGGGAGAAATGAATGTATATTGTTATAATGTTCTTATAATATAGCTAAAGTGGTATAGTATCCCTTGCAAGTAGACTGTCCTATGTTAAATAAATGTTATAATTCATATTGTAACAAATAAAATAATAGTTCAGTTAATAAGCCCCCAAAAATTAAAAAAGATTTATTAAAAATTCAATACATTTATAATAATTCAGAAAAAAATTAAAAGGTAAAAAATCCCAGATGAGACAAATAATAAACGTATAGAAAGATAATAATTCAAAACGGATCATATTGATGATCACACTAAATGTAAATAGTCTAAACATTCCAATTAAAGACATAAATTGGCCAATGACATAAGGAAGCAAAGCCAGACTATATGCTGACAACAGGGAAATGTACTTCAAATATGAAGACACAGAAGACTAATAGGAAAAGAGTGTAAAAATTATACCATGTAAATACTAATTAAAAGAGAACTGGAATGGGGGTTGGACACAGTAGCTCATGTCTGTAATCCCAGCATTTTAGGAGGCTGAAGTAGGTGGATCTCTTTGAGCTCAGGAGTTCGAGACCAGCCTGGGCAACATGGTGAAACCCTGTTTCTACAAAAAATACAAAAATTAGCCATGCATGTTGACTCACACCTGTAGTTCCAGCTACTCGAGAGGCTGAGGCTGGAGAATCACTTGAACCAGGAAGTGGAGATTACAGTGAGCCAACATGGTGCCAATGCACTTCAGCCTGAGGGGAAACAGAGCAAGACTCCATCTATAATAATAATAATAATAATAGTAAAGAGAGAGAGAGAGAGAGAGAAAGAGAGAGCTGGAATGATCATATTAATCTCAGACATGAGATACATTGATTTTAGATCAAAGAATATTACCAGAGATAAAAAAAGGCCCTTTGAGCATGATAGAGGGGCCAATGCATCAAGAGAATACAATCACTGTAAAATCTGTGTTTCAGTCTCATAGCTTCAGAATATATAAAGCAAAAACTGATAAAACTGCAAGAATAAATAATTAAATCTATAATTTTTGATAGTGATATTATTACCCGCCTTGCTCAATAACTGATTTCACAAATAGAATATAAAATGTAAAAGACTTAGTATAACTCTCAGCTAGCTTGACCTTGTTGACATTTATAGAGCACTCAACCTAAAACAGAAAAACATACATTATTTTTAAGTGTACATAAAATATTCATTAAGATAGATTATATTCTTGGCCACAAAACAACTCTCAATACATATAAAAGAATCTGGGTCACCTAAAATGATTTCTGGCTACAATGAAATTAAATTAGATATCAATAACAAAATAATTGGAATAAGTAAATAAAATTTTGAAATAACTCATTGGTTAATGAGGAAATCAAGAGAGAAATTAAACATATTTTGAAATGAATGAGAACAAAACACAATATATCAATATTTCTGCAATGTCATTAAAGCAATTCTTAGGGGAGAATTTGTATCATTAAATGTTGATGATAGAAAAGAAGAAAGGAACTACAATCAGTAGCCTCAGCTTCTAGCTCAAGAAGCTAGAAAAAGAAAGAAAATTAAACCTGAATAAGAAAAGAGGAAATAATGAAGATCAGAAAGAAATCAGTGATTTGGAACACAGTAAAACAGTAGAGAAAATTAATGAAATATAAAGTTATTTCTTCAAGAAGATCAATAAAGTTGGTAAACCACTCTCCTATTCAAAAAAAAGACAGAAATTATAATAACAAGAAAGATAGAAGTAAGTTATAGATTCTACAAACCATAAAAGATAAGCAACTTTATCCAATAAAACTGAAAAATTAAATGAAAATAGATAAACTTCTCATTTAAGACAAATTTTCTGAAAGACACATGCTACCAAAGTTCATTCAAGAGAAATAACCCAAATAACCCTATATTCATTATTTTTTTTTAATTTGCAAATAAAAATTTTCCACAAATACTAGGCACAAAGGGCTCCACTGGCAATTTCTACTGAATGTTTAAGAAGGGAATAATACCAATTCTACTAAACTATTTCAGAAAATTGAAAAAGTAGAAATATTTTGCTAATCACTTTATGAGGATAAACAATAACATAAGAAAAGAAAATTGGAGAGGCATCAAAATGGCTGATTAAAAGCCGCTTCAATCCATGCCACTCACAGAAAGGAATAAAAGGAGCAATTGAATTTAGCACCTTCAATTGAAATATCCAGGTTTTCACATTGGGACTGACTAGGCAAACAGCTCAACCCACGGAGAACGGTGAAAAGCAGAGAGGAGTGACAGCCCACCCAGGAGAGGCATGGAGCCAAAGGAACCCTCACCCCTAGCCAAGGGAAGTGGTTAGTGATTGTGCAACCCTGCCTGGAAAACCACACTTTTCCCATGGATCTTTACAACCCACAGATCAGGAGATGCCCTTGTGAGCCCATGCCACCAGGTCCTTGGGTCCAGTACATAGAGCTGGGTAGAGTCTCAACAGAGCAGCTGTTCAGGCACACACAGAGACCCAGGAGCTTTACATACTTTGGCCCTTGAATCCTTAGCACAATGTGAGAGATTCACCATACATATCCCTAGGAAGAGGGCTGAATCCAGGGAGCCAAGCAGCATCATTCTGCAGGCCCCACTTTCATGGCATCTCACAAGTTAAGACCCAGTGACTTGGAATTCCAACCAGCCAACATCAACAGGCTAAAGTCTGCCTGAGTCAGGACTGAGTTCCCAGGGCCAGGGATGGCTGCCATCTCTGTGGTTCCGTAGACACAGCCATTCTAGCCTGCTAGCTTTAGGGAATACAAACAGTCCAGATGAGGAAAAATCCACAACAATGCAGCACAGCTGCCTTGCTAGATCATGGCCAGGCAGCTTATTTAATCAGGACCCTGATCCATTCCTCTTTACTGGGTGAGACCTCCCTGCATGAGCTTCAGCCACTCCAGCAAGGGTTCTATGGACAGAGCTCCGATCTCTCCTTGGGATGGAGCTCCTGGGTGAGGGGAAGGCGGGGGCTGCTGCCATCTCTGCAGTTCAGTAGACTCAGCCATTCCAGCCTGCCAGCTTTGGAGAATACAAATTCAGACAAGGAAGAGCCCCCCACAGTACAGTACAACTGCCTTGCCAGACAGTGGCCAGACTGCTTCTTTAAGCAGGACCTCCCTGTGGAAGCTTTAGACACTCCAGCAAGGGTTCTATGAACAAAGCTCTGATCGATCCCTGGGATGGAGCTCTCACTGGGAGAGATGACCACCATCTCTGTGGTTCAGTAGACTTAGCCATTTCAGCCTGCCAGCTTGGAAGAATCCAGTCTGAATGAGGAAGGATCCCCACAACACAGCACACCTGCTGTACCAAAAAGCAGCCATACTGCTTCTTTAAGTGATTACCGGATCCTGCTCCTCCTGACTGGGTGAGATCTACCAACACGGGTCTCCAGCTACTTCCTACAGGTATGTTCTGGCTGGCAACAGGTCAGCACCTCCCTGGGACAGAGCTTTCAAGGAAAGAGCAGACTGCCATCTTTGCTGTTTTTCTGCCTTCAATGGTGACACCTTCAGGTACGGGAAAAACCAAGGTTACTAGGGTCCAGAGGAGACCTCCAGCAAACTCAAAAGCCCTGTGGAAGAGGGCCTGACTGTTAAAAAAAAAAAATGAAATAAAACAAGTAAAGCAACAACATCAACACAAAGGACCTCACAAAAACCCCATTCAAAAGCCAAAAACCTCAAAGATCAAAGGAAGAAAAGCCCACAAAGATGAAAAAGAATCAATGCAAAAATGCTGCAAATTCAGAAAGCCAGTGTGCCTCTTCTCCTCCAAATGACCAAAACACCTCTCCAGCAAGGGCACAGAACTGAGCTGAAGCTGAGATGGCTGAATTGACAGAAGTAGGCTTCAGAAGGTGGATAATAATAAGCTTCACTGAGCTAAAGAAGCATGTTGTAACCCTGTTTAAAGAGGGTAAAAATCATGGTAAAACAATACAGGAGCTGACAATCAGAATAGCCAGTTTAGAGAGAAACATAACTGACCTGATGGAGCTAAAAAACACAACACAAGAGCTTCACAATGCAATCACAAATATCAGTAGCAGCATATACCAAAAGGAGGAAAGAATCTCAGAGCTTAAAGACTATCCTTCTTAAATAAGACAGTCAGACAAGAATAAAAAAAGTAGAATGAAAAAGAGTGAACAAAACCTCTGCAAAATATGGTACTATGTAAAGAGACCGAACCTATGACTGATTAGGGTACCTGAAAGAGACAGAATGGAACCATGTTGAAAACATTACTTCAGGATATCAAGGAGAACTTGTCCAACCTAGCAAGACAGGCCACCATTCAAATTCGGAAAATGCAGAGAACTCCAGTAAGATACTCCGTGAGAAGATCAACCACAAAACAAATAATTATCAGATTCTCCAAGGTCAAAATGAAAGAAAAAATGTTAAGAGTAGCCAGAAAAAAATGCCAGGTCACCTACAAAGGGAAGCTTATAAGTCTTACGTGGACCTCTCAGTGGAAACCCTATAAGCCACAAGAGATAGGAGGCCAATATTCAATGATATTAAAGAAGAAAATTTTCAGCCCAGAATTTCATATCTGGCCAAACTAAGCTTCATAAATGAAGAAGAAATAAGATACTTTCCAGACAAGCAAATGCTGAGGGAATTAATCACCATGAGGCCTGCCTTGCAAGAGCTCCTGATGGAAGCACTACATATGGAAAGGATAAACCATTACCAGCCACTAAAAAAACACACAGTGAATCTATGAAGCAACCACATAAACAAGTCTGCATAGTAACCAGCTAGCACCATGATGACAGGATCAAGTTCACACATAACAATATCAACCTTAAATATAAATGGGCTAAATGGCCAACCTAAAAGACGCAGAGTGGCAAGCTGGAAAAAGAGTGAAGACCCATTGGTATGCTGTCTTCAAGAGACCCATCTCACATGCAAAGACACAAAGAGGATCAAAATAAAGGGGTGAAGGAAAATTTACCAAGCAAATGGAAAACAGAAAAAAGCAGGGGTGTGTGTTAGGCTTTGTGTCCTCACCCAAATCTCATATTGAATTATAATTCCTAGGTTATGAGGGAAGAAACTGGTGGGAAGTGTTTGGCTCATAGATGCAGTTTCTCTCATGCCCTTCTTGTGATAGTGAGTGATTTCTCATGACATCTGATTGTTTTATAAGGGGCTCTTTCTCCTTCACTTCCTCTTTTATGCTGCCATGTGAAGAAGGCCCTTGCTTTCCCTTCACCTTCCACCATGATTGTAAGTTTCCTGAGTCCTCCCCAGCCATGTGGAACTGTGAGTTAATTAAATATTTTTCTTTTACAAATTACCCAGGCTCAGGTATGTCTTTATATTAGTGTGTGAAGGAACTAATAGGAAAAAATTGGTACTAATGTAGTGAGGCACTGCTATGAAGACACCCAAAAATGTGGAAGTGACTTTGGAATTGGGTAACAGGAAGAGGTTAAAAGAGTTTGGAAGAAGAAGAAGAAGACAGGAAGATGTTGGAAAGTTTGGAACTTCCTAAAGACTTGTTGAATGGTTTTGACCAAAATACTGATAGTGACATGGACAATGAAGTTTATGCTAAGGAGGTCTCAGAGGGAAATGAGATACTTATTGGGAACTGGAGCAAAGGTCACTCTTGCTATGCTTTAGCAAAGAGACTGGCAGCATTTTGCCCCTGCCCTAGAGATCGGTGGAACTTTGAACTTGAGAGAGATGATTTGAAATTGGAACTTATGTATAATAGGGAAGCAGAGCATACAAGTTTAAAACATTTGCAACCTAATGATGTGGTAGAAAAGAAAAATCTATTTTCTGGGAAGAAATTCAAACTGACTGCAGAAATTTGCATAAGTAATGAGGAGCCAAATGTGAATCACCAAGAAAATGGGGCAAATGTCTCCTGTGCATGTCGGAGACCTTTGCAACAGCTCCCTGATCTCAGGCCTGGAGGCCTACTAGGGAAAAATACTTTTGTGGCAGGGTTCAGGGCCCCCCAGTGTGTGCAGTCTTGGGACTTGGTCCCCTGTGACGCAGCCACCACAGCCATGGCTAAAAGGGGCCAAGGTATAGCTCAGGCCATTGCTTCAGAGGGTACAAGCCCCAAGCCTTGGAGCTTCCACATGGTGTTTGTCTAGGTATGCAGAAGACAAGAATTGAGGTTTGGGAACTACCGCCTAGATTTCAGAGGATGTATGAAAATTCTTGAATGTCCAGTCAAAGGTTGCTGTATGGGTGGAGCTTTCATGTAGAATCTCTGCTAGGGCAGTGCACAAGGGAAATGTGGGGTTAGAGCTCCCATACAGAGTCCCCACTAGACCACTGCCTTGGAGAGCTATGTAAAGAGGACCACCATCCTTCAGACACCAGAACGATAGATCCACTGAGAGGTTGCATTAGGCACTTGGAAAAGCTGCAGAAATTTACCACCCGCCATGAAAGCAGCAGGGACAGGGGGGTGTATCCTCAAAAGACAAAGGAACAGAGCTACCCAAGGCTATAGGAACCCACCTCTTACGTCAGTGTGACCTGAATGTGAGACATGGAGTCAAAGGAGATTATTTCAGAGCTTTAAGATTTAATGACTGCCCCACTGGATTTCGAACTTGGATGGGGCCTGAAGCCCCTTTGTTTTGGCCAATTTCTTCCATTTGGAGTGGGAGCATTTATACAATACCTGTACCACCATAGTATTTTGGAAGTAGCTTTTAATTTTACAGGCTGCTAGGTGGGAGTGGCTTACCTTGACTCAGATGGGACTTCGGACTTGGACTTTTGGGTTAAAGCTGTAGTGAATTAAGACTTTGAGGGACTGTTAGGAAGGCATGATTGGTTTTCAAATGTGGAAGGGACATGAGACATGGGAGGGGCCATGGGCAGAATGATATGGTTAGACTTTGTACTCCCACCCAAGTCTCATCTTGAATTGTAATCCCCAGTTGTTGAGGGAAGAATCTGGTGAGAGGTGATTGGATTATGGGTACAGTTTTCCCCTATACTGTTCTCATGATAGTGAGAGAATTCTCATGAGATCTGATAGTTTTATAAGGGGCTATTCCCCCTTTGCTTTCTCTTCTCTCTTCTGACATCATGTGAAGAAGATCCTTGCTTCCCCTTCACCTTCCACCATGATTGTAAGTTTCCTGAGGACTCCACAGCTATGCAGAAGTCTGAGTCAATTAAACCTCTTTGCTTTAGAAATTACCCAGTCTCAGGTATGTCTTTATAGCAGTGTGAGAATGGACTAATACAGGTTGCAATCCTTATTTCTGACAAAACAAACTTTAAACCAACGAAGATTTTTTTTAAAAAGAAAGGCATTACGTAATGGTAAAGGGTTCAATTCAATAAGAAGAGTTAACTATCTTAAAAATACATGCAAGCAATACAGGAGCACCCAGATTCATAAAGGAAGTTCTTAGAGACCTTCAAAAAGACTTAGACTCCCACACAATAATAGTGGAAGACTACAACAACCCACTGACAATGTTAGACAGATCAAGACAGAAAACTAACAAAGATATTCAGGAACTGAACTCAGCTATGAATCGAGTAGACCTGATAGATATCTACAGAACTCTCCATGCCAAAACAACACATCATCTCATAGCCACATGGCACTTACTGTAAAATTGATCGTGTAATCAGAAGTAAAACACTGCTCAGCAAATGCAAAGTAACTTGATTCATAACAGTCTCTCAGACCACAGTACAATCAAATTAAAACTCAAGATTAAGAAACTCACTCAATACTACACAATTACATTGAAATTAGAAACCTGCTTCTGAATGATTCTTGAGTAAATAATGAAATTAATACAGAAATCAGTAAGTTCTCAAAAACTAATGAGAACAAAGAGACAATGTACCAGAATCTTTGGGACACAGCTATAGCAAAGTTAAGAGGGAATTTTATAGCGCTAAATGCCCACATCAAAAAGCTAAAAATATCTCAAGTTAAATACCTAACATCTCAACTAAAAGAACTAGAGAACCAAGCACAGACAAACCCCAAGGCTAGCAGAAGACAAACAATAACCAAGATCAGAGCTGAACTGAAGGAACTAAGACTCAAAAAATCAATGAATCTAATAGTTTTTTAAATAATAAAATAGATACACTGCTATCTACAATAATGAAGAAGAAAAGAGAGAAGATTCAAATAAACACAATCAGAAATGATAAGGGGTATATCATCACTTACCCCACAAAAATACAAACAGCCATCAGAGAATACTGTAAACACCTCTATACATATATAACTTAGAAAATCTAGAAGACATTGATAAATTCCTGGACACATATCCCCTCCCAACACTGAATCAGGAAGAAATTAAATCCCTGAATACACCAATAATGAGTTCTCAAACTGAGGGAGTAATATATAGCCTATCTACCAAATAAATGCCCAGGACCAGGTGGATTTATAGCTGAATTCTACCAGAGGTGCAAAGAAGAGCTGGCACCTTTTCTACTGAAACTATTCCAAAAAATTGAAAAGGAGGGATTCCTCCCTAACTCATTCTATGAGGCAGGCCAGCATCATTCTGATACCAAAACCTGGCAGAGATACAACAAAAAAAGAAAACTTAATGCCAATATCCTTTATAAACATCAATGGAAAGATCCTCAATAAAATACTGGCAAACCAAATACAGCAGGACATTAAAAAGCTTATCTACCAAGATCAAGTTGTCTTCATCCCACTCCTCAGGAAGAAAGGTTGGTTCAACATACACATATCAATAAATGTGATTCATCACATAAACAGGACTAAAGGCAAAAAACACATGATTATCTCAATAGATGCAGAAAAGCCCTTTGATAAAATTCAACATACCTTCATGTTAAAAAGTCTTAATAAACTAGGTTTTGAAGGAACATACCTCAAAATAATAAGAGCCATATATGACAAACCCACATCATACTGAATGGACAAAAGCTGGAAACATTCCCCTTGAAAACTGGCACAAGACAAGGATGCCCTCTCTCACCACTCCTATTTGAGGGAGTATTAAAAGTTATGGCCAGGGCAATCAGGCAAGAGAAAGAAATAAAGCATATTCAAATAGAAAGAAAGAAATTCAAAGTATCTGTTTGTAGATGACATAATACTATACCTGGAAAACCCCATTCTCTCAGCCCAAAACCTTCTTAAGCTGATAAGAAACTTCAGCAAACTCTCAGGATACAAAATCAGTATGCAAAAATCACTTGCATTTCTATACACCAACAACAGGCAAGCAGAGAGCCAAATCATAAATGAACTCTCTTTCACAATTCCTACAAAAAGAATGCAATACCTAGGAATACTGCTAACAAGGGAAGTGAAGGATCTCTTCAAAGAGAACAACAAACCACTGCTCAAAGAAATCAGTGAGGACAAAATCAAGTGGAAAAACATTCCATGCTCATGGATAGGAAGAACTAGTATCATGAAAATGGCCATACTGCCCAAAGCAATTTGTAGATTGATTGCTATTGCCATTATACTACCACTGACATTCATCACAGAATTAGAAAAAAACTATTTTAGAGTTCATAGCTAACCAAAAAAGAGCCTGAATAGCCAAGGCAATCCTAAGCAAAAGAATAAAGCTGGAAGCATTATACTAACCATCTTTAAACTATCCTACAAGGTTACAGTAACCAAAAAGGATGCTACTGGACCAATGGAACAGAATAGACAACTCAGAAATAAGACTGCACACTTAAAACCACTGGATCTTTGACAAACCTGACAAAAAGACAAGCAACAGGGAGAGGATTCTGTTTTTAATAAATGGTGCTGGGAGAACTGGGTAGCCATATGCATAGAGTTGAAACTGGACCCCTTCCTTACACAAATACAAAAATTAACTCAAGATTGATTAAAGACTTGAATGTAAAACCCAAAATTATAAAAACCCTAGAAGAAAATGTAGGCACTACCATTCAGGACATAGGCATGGGCAAATATTTCATGATTAAAATGCCAAAAGCAATTGCAACAAAAGTAAAAACTGACAAATGGTCGGAAGATCTTCAGCACAGGAAAGGAAACTATTACCAGAGTGACCAGACAACCTAAAAAATGGGAGAAAGGTTTATAATCTTTCCACATGACAAACATCTAATTTCCAGAATCTACAAGGAACATAAACAAATTTACAAGAAAAAAACAAACGACCCAATTAAAAAGTGGGCAAAGGACATGAACAGACAATTCTCAAAAGAAAACATACATGCAGCCAACAAACTTAGGAAAAAAAGCTCAACACTATTGATCATTAGAGAAATGCAAATCAAAACCACAATGAGATACTATCACACCAGTCAGAATGACAGTTATTAAAAAGTCCAGAAACAACAGATGCTGTCAAGCCTGTGGAGGAAAAGGAACACTTACACATTGTTGGTGTAAGATAGTTCAACCATTGTGGAAGACAGTGTGGTGATTATTCAAAGACCTAGAGGCAGAAATACCATTTGACCCAGCAATACCATTACTGGGTATATACTCAAAGGAATATAAATAATTATATTATAAAGATACATGCATACATATGTTAATTGCAACACTATGCAATGACATGGAATCAACCCAAATGCCCATCAAAGATAGGCAGAATAAAGAAAATGTGGTACATATACAACATGGAATACATCATGCAATCATATAAAGTAATGAGATCTTGTCCTTTACAGGGACAAGGATGGAGCTGGAAGCTAATATCCTCAGCAAACTAATACAGGATGAGAAAACCAAACAGCCATATGTTCTCACTTAGTAGTGGTACAGCCACTTTGGGAAAACGTTTGGTAGTTTTTAAAAAGTTAAATATACATGCATTATATAATCTAGTCTTTCTACCCTTAGGTATTTATCCAAGATATAAGACAACACACCTGTACAAAAACTTGTGCATGAATGTTCATAGCAGCTTTATTGTAATAGCAAAAAAATGAAAAAAAAAAAGTCAAATTTCCATCTATAGGTTAATGAATAAACAAATTTTGACATATCCACATACTGGGATATTTCTTAGAAATATAAACGAATGAACTATTTGAACATGCAGAAACATTGGTGAATTTCAAAATAATTATGCAGATTTAAGCAGACAGACAAAAATATGATGTAAAATCTCACTTACATAAAATTTTAAAACACACAGTGCTTTGGGAGGCTGAGGAGAGAGGATCACTTGAGGTTCATAGTTGCAGACCAGCCTGGGCAACATAGCGAGAACCTGTCTCTAAAAATTTTTGTTTGTTTTAATTATCCCAGCAGGGTAGTGTGTACTTATAGTCCTAGTGATTTGGTAGGCTAAGGTGGGAGGATGCCTTGAGTCTAAGAGTTCGAGGTTTTAGTGAACTATGATCACACCATTGCTATGAAGCCTGGATGACAAAATGAGACACTGCCTCTGAAATATAAAATAAATAAATATTTTTAAAGTGCAAATTAATCTATTGTAACAGAAACAGATCAGTAGTTTCTTGGAGGCAGAGGAGTTGTCTGGTATGAGATGAGAGGGTGGGGTTATAAAGGGATTGAAAGCCTTTGGGGGTAATGTAGATATTTATATTAAGTATAATGTTACATGGATATGTATTTGTGTTAAAACGTATCAAAGTATAAGTTTTAAATGCAAATATTTATTGACTATAAATCATAAGCCATTAAAAATAAACTTTTATATTTATATTTTCAACTAATTTTAAAGCTTTGTCAAACATTGCTAATTTGAAAGTGTCCCATCAAAAGTTTGACAGGTGTGGGTTCTGTCATATTGTTTTGGGTTAACATAACTACTTTAAAGCTATTTTTCATCATCTATTAAGAGATACATTGAACTGTGGATGATTCCTAATATAATGTTTATATGTGTAATTATGGTGATCAATAATTATACTAATAGGTATCTTGTGATTAAATAGTCATATTTAGATTTGGGAAAGTATGACAGTGGTGCGTAGGAGGGATCAATCTAATTTACAAGAGGGAGATCTGTTTTCATAATATTGAAGGAGGGAAAATTCTTTCTGTCAAAAGGTTAAGAAAATGTATCAAGGTCAATATTGTGAGTAAGTGAATAAACCCATAAAGGGTAATAAGCATCCTGAGTAAAGATACAGCAACAAATATGAAAATGTGGATTAAAAAAGAAAAATATATATGTATATATGTGTGTGTGTGTGTGTAAATATATACATATGTATACATATATACAAAGACAATTTAAATCTGATTGCTATGGACATTATTCTGCTTAATCCTACTAATATGGTAAATATAGATTATGTTGGAACCCACCCCAATTCTATTTTTAACAAATTATGTCAATTTTTAATATAATTTTTGTATAATTATCATTTTAAAATTACTAATGTATTATAGAGCAATATATGAATATATGGACACACTCAAACATTTCTAAAACATTCAAAAATTAGGCATAAAGAGTCACCTACAAAGATTCCATTGACTCCTCCCTCTCTATTCACTTTCTTATTTTTTTCCTTTTTGTGTGTGTTTGTGTGTGGTGAACACTTAACATGAATTTTACCTTGAACAAATTTTTAAGGACAGAATAAAGTATTATTAAAAATAGCCACAATGTTGCATAGCAGTTCCCTCAAAATTATCCTGAGACCTCATATCTCTTGAACAGCAACTACCCTGGCAACCACCATTCTACTCTCCATTTCTATGAGTTTGACTACTTTTGACACGTCATGTTAAGTGAAATCATGCAGTATTTGTCCTGTGACTGGCTTCTTTCACTTAGCGTAATATACTTACTATTCATCCATATTGTTCCATATGCCAGAATGTCCTTCTTTTTGAAAGCTGAGTATTTCGAGTATTTCATTGTGTGTGTATATATATATATATATATATATATATATATACATGCCACATTTTCTTTATCCATTAATTCCTCAGGTGACATTTGTCTTGAATCCTTAACATGGCTATTGTAAATAATGCTTCAGTGAACATAGGGTGCAAATATCTTTTAAAATCATGCTTTAGTCCCTTTGAATATATACCCAGAAGTGATACTGCTATATGATAAATGAAAATACATCCCATTTTCATGGATTAGACTGCTTAATATTGTTAAAATATTCATACTTCAAAAATCAATCTACAGATTTTATATAATTCTTGTCAAAATTCAAATGACATTTTTCACAGAAATAGAAAACAATCTTAAAAGTTGTATGGAGCTATGGAACACATTGAATAACCAAAGCAGTTTTGATTAAAACAATAACAAAGCTGTAGACATCACGATTTCTGGTTTCAAAATATATCACAAAGTTACAGTAATTAAAAGAGTATTGCATTGACAATTACTAACAGACATAGAAAACAGACATAAAAGACATATGAAATGGACAATGGAATAGAATAGAAACCCAGAAACATACCCACAGATACATGGTCAACTGATCTTCAACAAGGATTCCAAGAATAAACAATGGGGAAAAGACAGTCTCTTCAGTAAATGGCATTAGGAAAACAGAATATCCATATGTATATAAATAAAATTACAACCTTATATTCCATACACAAAAAGAACTCAAAATGTAAAACCTGAAACTGTTAAACTTGTAGAATAAAACACAGAGGAAAAGCTTCATGATGTTTCTCTTAAGTCCATTTAATGTTGCATAAAAGAATACCTGAGGCTGGGTAATTTCTAAAGAAAATAGGTTTATTTGGCACAAGATTCTGATGGTTGGAAAGTTCAAAAGTGGGCATCTGCATTTGGTGAGAGCCTCAGGCTGCTTCCAGTCATGGCAGACAGCAAAGGGGACCTGGCCTGTGCAGAGATCACATGGGAAGACAGGAGGAAAGAGAGAGAGAGGGAAAAGGTGCTGGGCTCTTTTAAACAACCAGCTCTTATGGGAACTAATAAAGTGAGGAAACACTCACCCCTGAGAGAGAACTAGTCTATTCATGAAAAATCTGCCCCCATGACCCAAACATGTCCCGTTAGACCCCATCTTCAACCTTAAGGATCAAATTTTAACATGAGGTTTGAGGGGACAAACATCCAAACCACAGCAACATTGGTCTAGGCAATGATTTCTTGGATACGACATGAAAAGAGCAAGCAACAAATGAGAAAATAGACAAATGGGATAAATCTGCACAGCAAATAAAACAATTGGAATAAAAAGGCAACCTAAAGAATGGGAAAAAATATTTGCCAACCATATGTTTGAAATATAAAAAACTATGTAACTCAAAAGCAATAAAACAATCTAATTAAAAATGGGCAAAAGATTTGAATAGATATTTCTTCAGAGAAGACATACAAATAGCCAACAGGTATATGAAAAGATATACAACATCACTAATCATCAGCATAATGCAAATGAAAACCACAATGAAATATCACCTCACATCTGTTAGGATGGTTATTATAAACAGACAAACTAAACAAAACAGAAAAAAGTTAAGTGTTGGTGATGATGTAGAGAAACTGCAACTCTTGTAAACTGTTTGTGGACATGTAAAATGTTACCTCAGCTATGGAAAACAAAATGGAGGTGACTCAAAAAATTACAGCTGGAACTTCCATATAATCGTACTGTTTTTGATACATTAATATGGAATTATGTCACTTTCATTTTATAGAATATAGAGCCAAGCATTCTCAACGAATAATTGTATGATTTTAATCAAATCCTGTTTAAAAGGCATTTTAAGTATACTGTGATTTATGTATTTCTGAATTACATGTACTCTCGATAAAAGGCTGGACTTTAGAGCCAGCTAGACTTGGGTTCATTATAGCTCCACTCCTGTTAACCAGGTGTACTACCTTAGACAATTTACTTAACCTCTTTTGTCTCCAATTTTCTCAGTGTAAAATAATAACAGTAATAGTACCTATATCTTAAGCTTACTATGAGAATTAAATATGTTAATGCTTACGAAGAGCTTTTATAGTACCTGGCCCATAACAAGCACTATATAAATGTTTGTTGTTATTCTTATCATTATTCTCATAACAATACACCATTTAGATATAACACCTCCCTCCACCTTCAGTTCACGTGTAGAATGAACAATATTTTACTCCCTTTCCCAGACATGTAACTGAGGCCAAATAAATGAGAATACCTATTTCTATAGCCTAGCCGATTGGCTTAACAGAAACAGGACCCTGTCACAAATAGTGAAATATAATGAAACTTTTGCAACCATTAAAAAAAGATTCGCTCTTTAAAATTGTGTATTATTTAATAATATTTAAGGTATGAAGTTGCTACGGCCATCTTATAGTGAAGGGCTTGAAATGGAGGCAACACTGAGATATCAGCTGAGAATTAAAGAAACCAATTCTTAATGATATTATTTGAATTCAACAAAAGGTTATGTATAAACTCAGTCAAGTAATGATCCAGGTTCATGAGTCTATAGGATCTACTATCTATCTATGATTTATCTATCTGTCTAATCATATATCTATAATTTGCCTAAAAAGGTTTTCTATCCCTTGAAAACAGAAATACCCTAACTGATTCAGACATTCAGAAATAGGATGCTAAATATAACATTCTAACAAGTAGACATCGATTGTCTGGAATCAGATAGAATGCAGAATGTAACTCTGTAGTCTGGGCTGAATATTGACAATCCTTTTTATGCAGTAGAAAAAAAAATTAAACGCATGTCTTTAGCTTTTGGGGAAACGGATCTTGGGAATTCCAGTGCTCTAGCATTAGGTGATTTCATAGGATACATTCAAGACATTGGAGTATGATGGATACCTCTTTCCAGCTTCAATAATATTGCATGAGAAAGTAATTAATTTAGAGAGGAAAGACATTACATTTTTAGTAAGACAGTCCTCTTCTGTCTGTTTATAATCTGGGTGGGTACAGGTACAGTAATTTGGTTTGGAAGAGAATAACTCTTTATCCTAAGCTGAAATTATTGTTAGCAAAGGCTGGGAGGTAGGATACACAGCAAGAAGAAGGATCAGATATGGTAGAAACCTCATCCACTAGCCACTGCGTGGCCAACTACAACCCATATGTCAGATTTCACACTAGGCCTTCTCGCATACTGCTCACAGGTAATAATGTATTTTATATTTTTAAAGTGTAAAATGAAACAACAAAGAATATGGTCAGAAACATTTCATGGCCAGCAAACCCTAAAATATTTATTACCTGACCTATACTTTAAAAGTCTGCTGATGCCTGCAGGTCTCTGTTGAGAACCTCCTGTTTGGCTTTCTCTATCAGATGAAGGGAACAATCGCTCTTGTTGACAAGATGCAATTGGAATGCACCCATAAGGAAAGGAATATATTAGTCATTCTTTCCCATGCCAATATATTTTTTCCCCAACACTTCTAAAGCAGAGGCTAAGATTGACAGCATCTAAATCAGGGCCTCCAGATCAGCAAAGTATTGAAGCCACAGCTGCTTTCTGGGAACTAAATATTTCTACAGAGTCTTCTATATTTAAAAGCCCAACAGGCTTTTTTACATTCATTAATGGCCTATGAAGTTTAAAATGTGGGAATTAATTAAAACCATATTACTTTCTAAAGAAGATATTGTGTGAGAAAAACTTCAAGTTTGGACAATATTAATGTAATTAAGTATCTGATTTCTCAAATAGGTGATAAAAGGAAATGGGCCTGGAAATGGACCCCGGCAGAAGCATTCTGCTGAATGTCCATCTCCAGTGTGGTCACAGAGCATAACAGACATGGTAGATTCTCTCAAAAATTAAAGCCAGTAATTGCAAGACTGGCTGGTCTAGAAACTAAGTTCACTCTTAGGAGAATGTTTCATCTCATTTCTGTCCTGCATAACTGGATATGTGCTGTGGCCTGGTGACTACCATGTTGTTTCCTATAGGCCCTGTTTTCCAAATGAAGTTATGTCTTTCAACATTCTGACACTTGAGGAATCTGAGTGTGGATATCTCGATGTCTATCCTAGTCCAAGTTTATTGATTTTCATAGATATGTAAATTAATGTGTTTCATCATATTTGAGAAGTTTTCAGCTATTATTTCTCCCAAAACTTTTTCTGCTGTTTTTTTCTCCAACATTCTGATTCTTGAGGAATCGGAGTGTGGATAGCTCAGTGTCTACCCTAGTTCAAGTTTATTGATTTTTGTAGATATGTAAATCAATGTGTTTCATCATAGTTGAGAAGTTTTCAGCTATTATTTCTCCCAAAACTTTTTCTGCTTTTTTCCCTCTCCTCTCCTTCTTGTATTCCTGTTATATGTTGCCTAATATTCATCATATATGCCGCATTTCTTTGAGAGAATGTTCATTTTTCTCCATTCCTTCTTCTCTCTCTTCTTCACATTGCGTAATATTTATCTGTCTTTCAATTTACTGATTCTATTTTCTGCCAGCCAAACTACTCCTCAGGATCTCTAGTAAAGTTTTTATTTCTATTGTGCTTTTCAATTCCAGGATTTCCATTAGATTTTAAAACAATTTCTATCTTTAATATACCCTATTTAATGAGACATTGTCATCATACTTTCTTTTAGATCCTTAAACATGTTAATAATAGGTTCTTGACATAATTGTCTGCTAAGTGTGGCACCTGGATATACTCAGAGACAGTTTCTAATGCCTCACTTTTTTCACATGTATGAGTGACACTTTCCTGTTATTTTTCATGTCTCTCTCTGTATCTCTCTCTATTTTGCTCGCTCTCTCTCACTCTCTCTCTCTCAGACTAGTTAATTAAAATAACAAATTGGCGTAACTCTGGATATTCACACAGAATTTGATATTGTTGCTTGCTTTTCATTTACTTAGTAACTTAGCTGAAGTATTTCAGTGAAGTCTATTTCCTCTGCGGTGCACACCTTCTGATGTCACTCTTAGAGTCTGCAGTCTTGGTTATGTGCACAGTCAACCTGACCTTGCTTGCTTCCTTGAATGCTAGTGATTTTAGATGGTCTCTCTTTACTTTCTCTTATTTACGTATTACGATTCAAGCTGGTTTTCTCTGTTAGTATCACATTCAGTTGTTAGCCTCTACTAATTGCTAGCTTACTATTCCATTTCTTTTGACAACTGCTTTAACATAAATTGCTCTATACTCTGATATAATTAAATTCAAGCTCCCTTGTAATGGTAGTCTTCCTGGTTTTTAAACACCAGGAGGACACTTCTTAGCTGTCTCTTTCCCTGGTTCTCCACATTAAACTTTTCAGCTGATTTCATGTTTCAATTGTTGCTACCATGAAACAAACAGCATCCTCTTAATGGTTCACCACTAAAATCTTCACTCTTTTTAACTGTACCCTTAGGATTCAACCTCCTCACAATCTGTCCCAATTAAAGTCAGTCCCTTAGGGAGAGGTACAGAGCTCTATGTTCCTGCATCTTTCTCTGAACCTGCATCTTTCTCTGAACAGAAACTCTGTGCTACTGCTTTGGAGCTGGGGGCAGGGACAGCAGCGCACATAGAGTGATACCCTTATCGTATGAGTGAGACACTTGTGGGGATGAAATTCCCGTGACTTATTCGCTTGCCTCTTCTAGTGTGCAACCTTAGCCCTATGAATAAGTTGGGGTGAGGGCACTTGTGGCCTAATATTTTTCAACTGCTGTATATGTAATTGAGTCATGGGTCAAATGTCACAGACTCTCATTTTTCTTACTGAGATTTAGTAGCTTTTTAAATTAAAGTTTTATCCATATGTTGTATGCCCTTATGACAATTTCTAGAGACTTAAAACTGTACGTAGTGTATTTTTCAAAAATAATTTTCACCAGTTATGTTTTTTCCACTGGGGAGAGCCTTCCCAGAGCAACTTGATCACCATTTTGGAAGTCACAGTCCCTGGACATGACATTTTGAACTATAGCGGCCATCTTCTGCTTGGAGGGAAAACATTGTCCATCCCCAACATAAGACATAAGAGAAGATGGAAAGTATCTCAGAATTTTCAAAATTGATGTCAAAATTGGGCCGCTGCTCAACTCTGGAACTGTTCACTTTTTAGTTTATCGTAATATTAGTTAATTAAACATTCTCATTGTTTAAGCCACTTTTGGCTGGTATTGTATTTCTTGTAGTCAAAAGTATTCTGAAAAAAGAGTTTTGTGATGCTTCAAGCATGCTGAAAACCAAACTTAGAGAGAACATGAATCAGAATTGCAATGTTGGAATCTTGGATTGGGAGAACCAAGAAAGCCATAAAGACTATGAGGAGACTGATAAGATAGATCATATTAAAACAGCTCAACTGGTATCAATAATTCAAGGATGCTCCTAATTAATTCTGTTCTCAATTTAGTTGGAATTTTTATTTCTTCCAAAAGCTGGAATATATTATGACTTATTAACTAGCTTTAAGCAGATTCCACTTGCCTTGCTTTGAATATCTTTTCCCTACAGATTCTAGATCCTAATTTTTAGTTTTCACTGATTTTTTCATACTCATCAAAGTATAATTAGCTCCTTCACACAACCTGGACTCTCCAAAGAAAAGTAATATTATTACAATAAAGAGAGAAACCCTTTTCTTATATGGAGCATTGAAAAACAAAAATAAAATTGGCTTAAAATGTATACAGAGGTATTCTAATATATACAGTATACATAAAGTATTCTCTTACTTGCTTCAGTGGAAGAAAATGTAAAAAAAAAACTTACTATCCTAATTTTTTTTTAGATTCTAAGAAATTGAAAGTATTTCTGATTGCTCTTTGAAACATCTGTTTATCTTTTCCAATTGAAAAAAGGATAAAAATTTTCTATTAATCTACTTATGATGGAAGTACAGCATCTGCGTTTGATACAATTCTTCTTTAATTTTTGCAAATGAACTCAGAGATTGCTCCATCAGTACATATTTGCAAATATTAAAAATAAATACACAATAAATAATGCATATTTTATTGTTTTCTACCTCCATCTCATTTGTTTCTCAGAACCATGTCTATCAGGCTTCCAAAAGGTATTTCTGAGTGACATGAATTTCATAAATACAATGCAGAAAGCACACTGGGAAAATGTTTTGTGGTCCTTTAAATGAAAGCAGCTCATTGTAAAATGTATTTATTCATATAAATGTTAAAATATTACAATGCAGTCTTTACTGATACTTAAATGAAATTGATTCAGTGAAAGTGAAAATTAGAAGTAGTCACGCATAAAGCAATAAACACAAACAGAAAATAATATGAACTTAAAAATATACAGTATATTATATCATTTCTGAGTTTAAAAAATCTCAATAATGACTTTAAAAATAATGTGCTAACATTTATTGACTATTCATTTTATATTTGTTCACTATCTTTCTTAATTACTTTACAAATGTGATGTCCAAGGGATTTATATATTTACATATTAAAATCCATTATTGTAAACATTAGGAAAATATTATTCACTGGTAAATGTGAAAAAAAGTATTTTCTATGAAAGTAGGCATAAGAATTCAAAATAATTGTTTAAATTCCACAGACTTCACCTGAGTCTCTTCCGCTAAATCTGCCTGATCTTATTTGAGTGACAATTAAGACAGTTGTCAGTAAAAGCATAAAAGCTTCATCACTACTCTTTTATGAAAACAATGAGGTTCAGGAGAAAGAGCAAATGGCTAACTAGATGTGCCTGGTGCTCATCCTCCCTGAAAAACAAAAAAAACACAAACCAAAATTATGAATGAATAACTATAATTTGACTGGGGTGTTTGAAGGAAAGTGCTGCAGTGTAGCAAGGGAGTGATGAAATCTCTGCAGAACACGACAACCCAGGATGACAGCACAGACAGGGGAGCAAAGGACCCTGCCTCTGCTTTCCTATTTTCCCTACCAGAACTGACTTGGAGCCAGGAGGGACTTCTCTTTGCAGGGAAAAAGTAAGCTGGAGACAACCAGCAGGCTCCATTGTCACCATGGACACCTGTAGTTCTCATTTCAGGAGAATTCTACAGCCCTCACATGCCCTGACCCAAATTTGGGGAGCTTCCTGGAAATCATATAAGTGTATTGTTCTAGAGTAGGAGCCCATTTTGTGTACCACCCAACCTCATGACCCAAGCTGCTACAGCATGGTGCCATCTTGAAACCAGCGCAATTGCTGGAGTGTGCCTTGCTTTGAGAGCAAGTAGCCATTGTATTTCTCCATTTCTGAGGCTCCACTGTCATTCCACTACACTCTCATGGGTGGCTGCAGCACTATGATTCTGGCTGATCAGAGACTAGGCCCAGTGGAATGGCCATAACTCTGGCACCCAAGCCCATGCAGCACCCTGCTCCCCCAAGGAACAGGTGGTATTGCATAGTGAGAAAGCCACCCCTGAGCCAGCTGAATTATTGCATGCATGCCCTTGGCCTGAAAGTCCTGAAAACCTAAATGGCTCTACCCTTGAAAAGCCCACCTGTAACAAGCTCACCCCTGAGCCAGATAACCTGCTGTGCATGTATGCCTCTGACCTGAGAACCAGCCCAATGCCCTGCTCTCAGCAAAGCCACACTACTACTGCCATGAACTCCTGCAGCCTAGGTCACTTAAGCACTTACAGACATCACTGACAAGGGTTACAGCTGAAGAAACTACATGGAGACTACACTACTCTTTCCACCCATAACCAAAGCCAATGCACCATACCCAACCAACACCCTAGAACCCATTTAAAGGAAAAAGTTTATTCATATGAAAGTTACTCCATAAAATTGAAATAGGCAACTGTTCCACCAGATGCACAGAGATCAACAGAAGTACACAACACACCAAGAAAAGGCAAGGAAATATGATACCCCCAAAAGACCACAATAGTTTTCTAATAACAGATAGCAAAGAAAAGGACATTTGCTAAATGTCTAAAAAGGAATTCAACATAATGATCTTAAGGAAACTAGGTGAGATATAAGAGAATACAGATTAAAAATATGCAATAATATCAAGAAAAAATTCATTATGAGAAATTCAACAATGACAACAAAATAGATTATAAAAAAGAACCAAAGGGGAGTCTTGGAGCTGAATAATTAAATAAAAACTAATAAAAAATGTGATTGAGAGTTTCAACAACAGACTGTAAAAGGCAGAATTTCTGAACTTGAAGGCAGGTCCCTTCAAATAACCAGTCAGAGGAGGAAAAAGAAATAAGAATAAAAAGAATGAAGAAAGACTACAGGACTTATGGGACACTATTAAGTAAACAAATACTTGCATCATGAAATTTCAAGAGGGAGAAGAGATGGAGAAAACCTGTTTAACAAAATAGTAGCTAAAATTGTCCCTAGTTTTGACACAGATACGAACATTTAGATCCAGGAAATCCAAAATTCCCCCAATAGATTAAACCCAAAATTGTCCTCTCAGAGGCACATTATAATAAAACTGTCAAAATCCAAAGACAAAGAGAGAATTGTAAAAGCAGCAAAAGGAAAATATCAAGTTGCATATAAAAGAATTCTCATTAGATTATCAACAGATTTAGCAAAAAAATGATAATTATGATCATGAAAATAGGTGAAAGTGTAAAACTCACTAGTAGAGGTAAATTCATAACAAAATTCTGAATATGACAGAACTATAATGTAGGTATGTAAATCTTTCAAATTTGTATTATGAAGGCTAAAAGTCAAAATAATAAAATATAACTATAGCTACAATAAGTTGTTAAGAAAAATATAACATACAAAGATACAAATTAAGGCAAAAAAAAAGTTGTGGACAAAATAGTAAAAATTTACAGTATTTTTATGTGACCAAAGTTAAGTTGTTGTTGGCTTAAAATATTCTATTTTGTAACTACAAGATTCTTTAAGAGCCCTATTGCAACCACAAAGAAAGAAATTGCAGCAGATGCATGAATAAGAAAGAGAAAGGAATCAAAGTTTAGCACAATAAAAAAATCACAATGGTAAAATACAAGAGGAAAAGAAAAAAATAACAGATCTACAAAACATCCAGGCAAAAATTAACAAAATAGAGAAGTGCTTATGTATCAATAATAACCTTGAATGTAAATGGATTAATTTATCCAATTAAACATACAGAGTGGCAGCTGAGGTGGGCGGATCACTTGAGGTCAGGAGTTTGAGGCCAACCTGGCCAACATGGTGAAACCTCGTCTCTACTAAAAAGACAAAAATTAGCCAGGCATGGTGGTGCATGCCTATGGTCCCAGCTACTCAGGAGGCTGGGACAAGAGAATTGCTTGAACCTGGGAGGCAGAGGTTGCAGTGAGCCAATATCGCACCACTGCACTCCAGCCTGGGCAACAGGGCGAGACTCTGTTTCAAAAAAGAAAAAAATATATATATGGAGTGGCTAAATGGATTTTTAAAACAAACCCGACTACATACTGTCTACAAGAGACTCATTTCATTTGTAAAGACACAGATAGACTGAAAGTGAAGGGATAGACAAAGATACTCCATGCAAACAGAAATCAAAATTGAGCAGCAGTAGCTGTATCAGATAAAATAGATTTCAAATAAAAAACTCTAAAAGGAGACATAATTCTGTAATAATAAACAGATCCATTCAGCAAGAAGATATAACAATTATAAATTTATATGCACACTAAACTTGAGTATTCAACTATATAAAGGAAATAGTATTAGATCTAAAAGGAGAGATAGATGACATTATAATAGTAAGGGACATTAATATCCCACTTCCAGCAATAGACAGACCATCCAGTAAGAAAATCAACAAAGAACAGCAAATTTAAACTGTACTGTAGGCCATATGAACCTAATAGAGATTTGAAGAATATTCTATCCAAAAGCTGCAGATTATACATTTTTCTCAATTGCACATGCAGAATTGTTCAGGCTAGGTTATATATTAGGGCAGGAAACAAGTCTTAACAAATTGAAGAAGATATAAATTATATCAAATATCTTTTCTGACCACAATGATTTAAAATTAGAAATCAATAATAGGAGGAACTTTGGAAATTTCATGAATATATGGAAATTAAACAATAAGCTTCTGAATAACCAATAGGAAAATAAAGAATTAAAGCAAAAAAATAAATTTCTTGAGACAAACAAAAATGAAAACAAAAATCTACTAAAAACTATGAAATACAGCAAAAGCAGTTCTAAGGGGAAAGTTTACAGCAATAAATCCCTACCTTAGAAAGTAGAAAGATTTCAAATAAACAACCTAATTGTGCACCTCAAGGAACTAGGAAAACAAGAACAAACTAAAGCCAAATTTAGTAGAAAAGAAAAAAATAGAGCAGAGATAAATAAAATAGAGACTACAAAAATACAAAACATCAACAAAAGGAAAAGCTGGTTTTTTGAAAAGATAAAATAAATTGACAAAATTTTAGCAAGATTAACGAAAAAAGAAAGATTAATAAAATCAGAGATTATAAAGGATGCATTACAACCAATACCACAGAAATACAAAGCATCTTGAGAGACTTTTATGAGCAAACATATGTCAACGAATTGGATAATCTAGAAGAAATGAGTAGATTCCTGGACACATGTAGCCTACCAACACTAATTTATGAAGAAACAGAAAATCTGAACAGACCAAAAACATCTGAGGTAATTGGATCAGTAATAAAAACTCCCCCATAAAGAAAAGGCCAGGACCTGATGGCTTCACTGCTAACTTCTACAATAATTTGAAGAACTAAGATCAATTCTCCTCAAAATATTCCAGAATATTAAAGAAGATAATACATTCCCAAATTTATTTGATAAAGCCAACATTACCCTGAGACCAAAACCAGCAAGGACACAACAGATAAATCTACAAGTCAATATTCTTAATGAATATAGATGCAAAAATCCACAACAAAACACTTGCAAGCTGAATTCAACAGAACTTTAGAAAGATTATTTAAAAGGTCAAGTGGAATTCATCTTAGAAATCCAAAGATGGTTTAATAATATATGCAAAACAATAGAAGTGATACACCATAATAACAAAAAGGCGGACAAAAACCAGAGACCTCCTGTAGTCCCAGCTACTCGGGAGGCTGAGGCAGGAGAATGGCGTGAACCCGAGAGGCGGAGCTTGCAGTGAGCTGAGATAGCGCCACTGCAGTCCGGCCTGGGAGAAAGAGCGAGACTGGGCGAAAGAGCGAGACTCCGTCTCCAAAAAAAAAAAAAAAAAAACAACCCAGAGACCTGTTCAATAGACACAGAAAAATCATCTGACAAAATTCAATATCCCTTCATGATAAAAGCTTTCAGCAAATTAAGTATAGAAGGTTTATACCTCAACACAATAAAGGCCGTATATGATAAATGTCAGCTAACATATACTAAATAGGGATAAGTTGAAAGCTTTTCCTCTTAGATCTGAAATAAGACAAGGATCCCCACTTTGGCCACTTTTATTCAATATAGTACTGGAAGTCCTAGCCAGAACAAGTAAACAAGAGAAATAAATAAAAGGCATCCAAATTGGAAATGAGAAAGTCAGATTTTTCCCTGTTTGCAGATAGCATGATCTTATATACAGACAATCCTAAAGACTCCACACGGAAACTATTAGAACTAATAAACAAATGTATAAGTCACAGGATACAAAATGAACATACTAAAATCAGTAGCATTTTATATTCTAATAGTGAACTATCTGAGAAAGAAATCAAGAAAACAATCCCAATTACAAAAGCTACAATAATCTAAGGTACCTAGCAATTAGTTTATCTAAGCAGGTGAAAGATTAGTAAACTAAAAACTACAAAACCTTGGTGAAAAAAAATCGAAGAAGATACAAATAAATGGAAAGATATCCTGCGTTCTCAATTGGAAAAAATAATACTATTAAAATGTCTATACTACCCAAAGCGATCTATATCTTCAATGTAATCCCTATCATATTCCAATGACATTCCACATAGAAATAGAAAAAAGAAAATAAGATTCATATGGAACTATAAAAGATCCCAAATAGCCAAAGCAATTATGAGAACCAAATTTAAAACTTGAAAGTATAATACCACTTGACTTCAATATATAATGCACAGCTACAGCAACCAAAACATATATATTGAAGATATATTTATGTATTGACATAAAAGACACATAGACTAATGGAAAAAAAATAGCCCAGAAATAATTCTACACTTCTACAGCAACTAATTTTTGACAAAGCTGTCAAAAACACACTTTGGAGAAAGCACAGTCTTTTTAATAAATGGTTCTGAGAAAATTCAATGTCCACATGCAGAAGAATGACAATGGACCCATATCATTCACCATATACAAAAATCAGCTCAAAATGGCTTCAAGAGTTAAATATAAGACATTAAACTATTAAACAAACTATTTATAGTTAATGTCTATTTATAGTTAATTTATGTTTAATGTCTTAAGACATTAAACTATTAAAGAAAATAGAGGAAATACTTTTGACATTGGACAGGGATTGGACAGGGATTTTTTTGGACAAGACTTTAAAAGCACAGGCAACAAAAGCAAAAGTAGACACCTGGGACTGTATCAATCTAAAAAAGCTACTGGACATCAAAAGAAACAACCAACAGAGTAAGGATACAAATTATAGAATGAGATAAAATATTTGCAAACTACATATCTGGCAAACGGTTAATATCCAGAACGTATAAGAAACTCAAACAATTCAATAGCAAATAATAATAACAATCCGATTAAAAATGGGCAAAAAAATAAACATTTCTAAAAGAACACATACAAATGGCCAACAGACACGCAGAAAAAAAATTCAGCCTAACTAATCATTAGGGAAATGCAAATAAAAACAATAAAATATCACTTCATTCCAGTTAGAATGGCTATTACAAAAAAGACAAATAATAAATAAATGTTGGAAAGGATGTGGAGCAAAGGGTTCCCTTGTCCACAGGTGGTGGGAATGTAAATTAGTACATTCCTCAAAAAATTGAAACAAGAACTACCATCTGATCCAACAATCCCACTGCGGAGTATATATCTGAAGAAAATGAAATCAGTATGTAGAAGGGATATCTGTACTCCCAGGACCATTGTAGTACTATTCATAATAGCCAAGATATTAATAGAATCAACTTAAGTGTCCAACAATGGATAAATGGATGAAGAAAACGTGGTATATATACACAGTAGAATGCTATTTAACATTAAAAAGAATGAAATTCTGTCATTTGTGACAATATGGATGAAGTTGGAGGATATTATGTTAAGTGAAATAAGCCAGACACAGAAAGACAAATACAGCATGTTCTCCCTCATATAGGGAATCTAAGAATATTAAAGTCATAAATAAAACAGCTCTTACCTTTCCAGAGACCGGGCAAGAGGAGTGGAGGGATGGGGAGAGCATGGCCAATGTGTACAAAGTTACAAGTACAAAGGAATAATAAGTTCTGTTGTCCTATCGCACATTAGAGTGATTATAGTCAACAAGAGTATGCTGTATATCTCAAAATAACTAGAAGAGAGGATTTTGTATGTTCCCATCATGAAGAAATGACGAATATTTGAGATGATAGATATGCTACTTACACCAATTCAATCGTATCACAATGTATATATGCATTGAAATATCACATTGATACATATGCATAATTATATGTCCATTTAAAACTGAAATTAAAATAATTAAAAAAGAAATCAAACACATAAAATAGTTTTTTTATTTTAGTAAAATGAAGTATCAAATTAGCATGCGTATTTTAATTAAAAGAATATTACATAACATTAATTTTTACTAGAATTTTATGTTCAGATTTCTTATGAGTTTGCATTGTTCTTTTTCTGTACTATGGTTGTCATTCTTTAAAACACATTTTGAAACCAAATGTGACGCCAGAAAATTCAATTAAAAAGACAGGATTGCTCACATCGGCCCAGAAATGTTATCTTCAATGTCACAAGTCACTCTAACCTCCCCACACCTAGGGATTATGCAGAATCCTGAGGATTACTTACAGTATATTTATTTTTATTTCTTCTATCTTTAGAAAGGTAGTGATATTAACATTAATATGCCTCTGGTCTACTTATGGAATTTTGTAAGCAAAAGACTAAGTCATAAAAATCTAGGGGATAATTATGTCTTGCCAAATGTTATACATATTTCCTCTTTTACAAACATTTGCTATGCATAGTATAAAATCATTCATATAAAATAATTAAATATAGTCCCTGTGATAAGTGCTGAGATAGGTGAATTGCATGAACATAAATTATGCAGCCTATTGGTAAAGTTTTAAGACCAATCTTCTGTTACCAAACAGCTACAAATACACAAACACGCATACACATACACACACCTGAAAATACTTATTTTAATGTATTAAAGTAATGAACTCTCACTAATGTGTCTTGAGAAGGTTTGTTTTGAAACCTCATACTGATATCTTTCTTTTGTTTTATAATTCTAAGGTATTTCTTTAAAATGTTAATAGTTCTCTTAATTTTCTGTGAACCACCTTGTCTCTCTTCTGTTAACATTACCTCCTTCTTCCAGAGAGTAGAGATTCCCAGGCTTTAATTGACCTTACATCTCATCTGTGAACATTCTAAACTCTGTATTTTCAATAACTTGCCACTGAAAAGTTTCAAAAATACATTTGTCTCTGTTTATTTGGTTGTCTTTTTGTTCTCAACCCATTGCACAAATAAGTTTCCTTTCATGACATCAATGTGTCCTTCTAATTTGTCCTTTCTTCTCTCCCTAAAAATGTTCTCAATATTTTTTTTTATTTTAAATATAATACAAAATTCTTCAAGGTTATCATCTCATCGCCACAATCCTTTTTAATGCCCAATTATAAAAGCCTGAAGCTCCTTATCATTGCTTGAGTATTTAGTAAATTATCACAGTCTTCTTTAACAATGACTATAGACATCCCCAGGAAGTGTTAACATGTTCCACAAACGTGTCCTGGCTCACAGTTGCATTCTTAGCTGGCTCTCTGCTGTCTGGCTGTAGATCTCTGTCCTGCGTGCCCTCCTCTGCAGCATGTCATCTCAAACATCTTGAATCTAGATTTTCTCAAGCTGCAATTGCTCTCTTCTACAATATTTTGGTTCAAATGTAGGCATACCTTCTTTTCTCCATTTTATATGTAGTAAAAGAAAAAAACTTTTAGTTTAATCTTTTTGTTAACAAGACAGTTAACAAAATCTATCCACAATCTAAAATATTTTAAAATTCTGATGACACTACAGATAAATTTACAGTTATTTACTAGAAGTACTGCTGTCCTATTCCAAAAATCCAAGCTCTTTACAGGGCCCCACTAATAAGTGCCTGCATGTCTGGTTTCTAACTTGTCTTTGTCTGATCAAGGTCAGGTTTTTGCTTGCTCTCAGTTTATGACCATCATTCAAACTCATGTACCCGCTAATGGAAGTGACTTGTCCACCTGAAAATGGAAATTATTTCCAGCATGACTCTTCCACTCAGAATCTAGTTCTCATCTATGTCCTCTAAAGATATCCCTTTTCATACAATGTCAATGTCTGCTATTTCCAGAGGTAACTCTTCTGTCCACTACCTTGAGGTGTCACTTTACTTCCATCAATCAATAAGATGATATATCCCTAAAATATGTCCCTAAAAATATACATGTTTTACCTGTCAATTAAAAATAAATTTTTAAATAAGAAAATTTAGGTAATGAACAATGACTAGTTTCATAACCCAGTAGCCACTTATATTGCAGTAAATATTATTTTTTATCTACAAGTTTGAATGCATTTTTAATTATTAAGCTTCACGGATATGAAAAAAAATAATACAATGAATGGGGAAAGTCAGTCCTCCCCAAAGGTCTGGCTGATTCATTCTTGAATAACACCATACTCAGGGCATCAAAGACCAGCAGGGTTTCATTCTTTTTAATGTCTTCTTCCATTCAAATAGAAGGTTGGGTTTGTATGTTAGGGCTATGGCTTTTGTGAAAATGTGTTTGAAGATATCATTCCTACTAAAATATTTATGAAACATTCAAAAATATTTATGAAGTGCTCATTCTTTGTGAGAACTTTTGCTAATTCTTGGAATTTCACAGTAAAGAATATTAATAAAGATAATCACCCACAGTCCAACTCAAATACTGATGGTAGCATCTATAAATTGGTGGGCTTATTAGAAGATAATAAGTGGTATGGGGGACAAGTTGAGGGGAGTGGAGTAGAGTAAGGAATATAAGGAGTGCTTGAAAAGCATATAATTTTTAAGAGGATAGTCAGACTAGGCTTCATATGTGAACATGACTTTTGAGGAAGGATTTGAAAGAAGTAAGGGGCTTAACATAGTAGCTGTCTGGAGACAGCATTTCAAGAAATAAGAACAGAAAATGCAAAGACCCTAAGGTAAGAGCTTGCCTGATATGTCTTAAATATGCAAGCAATTGAATTCAACTGTAACAATGAACGTGAGGGAGAGTACAAGGAAATGAATTTAAAGATGTAATGGGAGTCACACTGTGTTGGGCTTATCAACATTTTAAGGACTTTGAATTTTATTCTGAGTGAAATAGGAAACCAGATTTTAAGAAGGGGAGGGGCATAATCTGAACTACATTTTCTTCATGAATGACTTATTCTGTTGAGACGAGGCTCTAGGAGAATAAGGGTAGAGGCCCTGAGGGGAGCTAGGAAACTCTTGCAGTAATCTCAACAAGAAATAACAAAGTCTAAAGCCAGAGTAGGAGCAGTGGATGAATATTTCCAACATTGAGACAAATTAGATGTGAATTATGAGAGAATGAGAGCTCTATGATCACACAAGGTTTTTTGTGTAAGCAATCGGGAAGCATGATTGTCATTATCTGGGAGTTTAGTTTTAGACATAATAATTGTGAATTTTCCATTAGACGCCAGGGTAGAAGGCCTAGGAAGTTGGATAAATTAATCTGGAGCTTAGAGGAACTGTCTACAGCTATACATATAGTTATTTAGTCTCATGATACTGAACAAGACTATCAAGGAATAATAGGGGCAAAAAAGTAGATTAAAAAATACATATAGTTATTTAATCTCATGACACTGAACAAGACTATCAAGGAATAATAGAGACAAAAAAAGTAGGTTTAAAAAAAAAGGACCCAAGAGAATTCTGGAGACTTTAAACATTAAAGGTTTGAAAGAAATGGAAGCCTAAGAGGTAGACTGAGGAGAGACCAGGGATGTAGGAATAAAACCAGAAGAGAGGACTGGTGTCTTGAAGTTAAGAGAAGAAAGTTTATCAAGGAGTAAAGATTGATAAACTGCATCAATGGTGCTAAGAGATCAACTAATTTGAGTAATGACAAGTTACCACTGGTTTTAGCTGCATGGAGAGGACTTTGTTGACCCTGAGAGCAGTTTCAGTGAAGTAGTGGAAATATTTTAAGAGAAAATGAAAGGAGATGAATTAGATGCAGGAAGCATAAATATCATTTTTTAGGAGTTTTACTGCAATATGAAGCAAAGAAACAATCGCAGGTATACACTTCCTAAAAACAAAAATAATTCTTAGAGACTGGACAGTTTGTGAGAAACATTTTCCTAAGAGAGACATGCTTTTCAGAGGTGCAAGCCTGCTGTTAATGAAAACAACCTCTTTAGGTAATTACATAGAACACTTTATCGCCTTGAAGCTACAGCCCCATACTATTTCCATTCCAAAAGAATATTATTGCATCACACTTTTATAAATAAAGGCCTGTGTGGTTGGTTTAGTGATTTTGGCATAAGAAGTTTAGTTTATCTTAAAGATAAATTCAAATTTCTGCTTTTAGGACTCTAAAAACCACTTGAAATGTTTGGATTATTTATTTTTGACAGTCTATGCTCAGTAAAATATTCTGGATATTTGCCAACATTCTGTCATTACACGGAAAATTTTTTTGGATTTTGTGTCATCTGCTGGTCACCCATCTCACCTTTGTTATCCCTTAGTGTCCAATCTCTAGAAATACAATAAGCGTACCTACAGTGGAGTCTCACAGATTCAAGGTTTATATTTAGAGTTTGATGGTAAAACACCTAAGGCAGCAAAGCCAGACCGGTGAATAGAACCATGAACTGAGTCAGTGGCCAAGGCCAAAAAGCAAAGGAGATCATTCAAGAAGTCTATAACCTAACAGGATGAGGAACTGATATGAAAACTAGTGTGAACACTAGGACTTCAGGATAAAGATTCTTGAAAGTACACCGGGTGGTTGACTGTCGCTAGAAGAGGGAGTGAAGGAAGATAATGCAGAAAATTGTCTTCAGCTCATGTTAATATGTCAGCAACAACATTTATATAGACAAATTGTACTAGAAATAATTTTAGATCCTTCATTTAAAAACTAATTGTTTACCATCTTGCAGACTTTGTGCTATGTACTAGATAAAATTGTGAAAAGGCAGACCTAATTATTCAATAAACATTTACTGGGTACCTACTAAGCTTGAGAGAAATATGACTAATAAATTATATGCTCTAACTTTGAGGAGCTTATATTCCCTTTGATAAGACATAGTTGTAAACAGATAATTTCAATGTTAAATATACAAATACACAAAAACAAAATCAAAAAAAGGAAATTTTAATCAACAATAATAATTTTTAGGCACATAGGGAAATAATTGACAACCTTAAATATTTTATTTCAAGATTGGCACAAGAAAAAAAAAGTCTAAACCAGGAAAATAAATATGTTATTTGATAGGATCACAGTAAATAAAAATGGTTACAATTTACATAGTAAATAAAAATGTTACAATAGATATGAAAAGGAATGTCTGAAGATATTTAGACCAGTTCATTCTAGCTCTCAGTCCTTACATTTGAATATAAGACTGCCCCCAAATTTTCACTAGCCATAAAAATAAAAGACTAAAACTGCTTACAGAGACAGGCAGGCATACAGAAAACTGCTGAACCAATTATACAATTAGCTAAAGATAATTGCAAAAACAGACACAAATATATAAACAAGCAAAACCCTGCAGGCAAAACACAAAATAACTTGCTGCAGCCAAAACATTCCTGAATATAATTACTCAATCAGTCCAGCCTTTCTAAGGACTTTGGTCATTTCTAAGTAACAGTACAATCACTGCCATGGTATTCTTCAAAACAATCATGTAATTTCTCAGCACAAAACACTAGGCAGCTATAATTAGTCATGTGATTCTTCAAAGATCCAGGAATTCTTCAGACATAAAACAGTGACCAGAAAGCTATTGTACTGCACCTGGCTTCCCTCCTAAAAACCCTCAATACTAAACCACGTTCTGTAGACTTTCAATCTGAGGAGTACTTACTTCCTGATCAAAACCATATATCCTAATTTGTAACTTGGATTGTCTGAAATTTTACAGGACAAACATTCTTAAAACGTCCACAACATTTTGATAAACAAGGGTCCTCAAAATTAACTGCCTTTTCTAAATGTCAGCAAAACTCATTGATTCATTAGAGCATCAAAAATGTTAGAAAACACAGATAATCTCAACAGAAGTTTGTTGTAACTTTTCTTATTCAGGCACAGCTCTCGCTTTACTTGAATGTGTCCTCATGAGGCAAGCACATATTCATAGGGTATTCACAACTGTTTAAAAAAAATAACAATTTTTTGACAAATTAATTATTTGTATATATGTAAGTTTCTTTTCAGCTTTTTGGAAGGGGAGATGCCTATGCAGCAGTTTCAAGATTCTCTCTTGGAAAGAACATTCTGGAAGAAAAGAAGATGGTTAGATAATGATAGGCTGGAGACAAGAAAAAAAAATAAGGTAAAAGATCCTTGTCAGTTGAGAGTCAGCTGGATGGGTGAGTCATTAATTTCCTATTAGGTCATAACATCATTTAGCTCCACCATAAAATCAAATATTTCATCAGAAATGCTAATTTCTTCCAAGAAAGAGGTTTGCAAATTAGATTCTGTTACAAAGTTATATGACAAATGAACTTCAGGATAATTTTTCTTTCACAGTGGCAAGTGTGTAAGTCTTTCATTTATTGCCTAGTTACTGAATCTATACTGTGCTATACATATATTGTGCTATACTGATATATATATATGCTGTGATATATATAATGATATACATGTGATATATATCACTACATATACATATATAGTGCTATACTGTGATATATATACTGTGATATATATATGATATACTGTGATATAGATATATAGTGATATACATATAGATATAGTGATATACATCATTACATATATATCACTATATATCTATATATATATCACAGTATATATCTATATCACAGTATAGCACAATATATGTATAGCTCAGTATAGATTTTATATACATATATATATATAAAACTAGGAAATGGGAATGCAAGGAAAGTCCAACAGGAAAACAGATGAAGGTGCCAGTTGGAAAAGACAGTATCCCATAAATCATCTCAGAATGTCCCATCTAAGCTAAATCCTGGGAGAACAAGCCAGGAAAAGGTTCAAGAAAGGGCAATCCAGATAGTAGAAAAGTATGACAAATCCCAATGAGCTTAAAAAAAAATGTACTGTAATTGGGAATTAGAAGCCCAATCTGGCTGGAGGGCAGAGCGCTGAGGCTGTATATACAAATCAGTAGGGCTTCTTGTGACCCAGTGTTGCCTGCCTAGTCTGGAATTTGAGTGTTGCTAAAAGAAACAGAAAGTCATGGTAGCAGTAGCATTTTAAGCAACAGCGTGAAATAATTGGATTTTATTTTTAATTGACTAATCCGAATTTTTCACTGCCTCATTGACCAATATTGATGGCCCTTGGTGGCCTCTTGAGGCAAGATTTCAAATGCTGACCTTTTCAGAGAAGTTGTGAATTCTTCAAGGGACTCTGCAGAGCTTGTCCACTGCAATATGCAGACACATGAGAGATCCACTTCCTGTTTAAGTCTTCCATCCCACCTCTCAGACTCCCAAACTCCCATTCTCACTTATACTTCCTAAAGCCCCTTAAACAGTACAACATCTTGTGTGGGACACCAGCCAACTTGGCTTCGTGGTCCTGGGATCATATCTCCCCCTGCCGCCTTTTTTTCCATGGCAGGAAAATGTCCCTGCAATTCATGTTAGGTCAATAACTCTTGACTTGAAAACCTTGATAAAGAAGGTGGAGGAAATGATTTTGGTAATGACAGTACTACCAGTGATTCATAAGCTCTTAGCTAAGTAGACTCATTTGCTGGGCACTCTGTAGCCTGTAATGCCTGTTTTTTTTTTTGTTTATTTGTTCAGTTGGTTGTTAGTTTGTGGCCCCTGGTTCTAGGCCATTGTGTTTTTACTAAAGCAACAGTAAATGTTCCTGTTAGATATGCTATTAGCACTGAAAATTTTGTTTTGCCTGTTGCATGAAGAACGGGTTTGAAGATTATGAGGCTAGGAATATAGAGTGGTCAATCCAGGGGATGATGGTGGCAACTTTGATCTGGATGGCATGACCAAAGAGTCAGTAATTATTTATGAGCACTTACTGTATGTGCAGTCTTTTATTAAGCACTTACGATTTGAAAATAAACAGCAGAGATAGAAGACTTGCTCTTCAGGAGTTTGCATTCTAGCTGAGAAAAATGTAACAAAATTAAAAAACATATATGTTTCTCATAAGGATAACTTCTATGAAGAATATAAAATATGACAGTGGATTAGAAAAAAGAGGATAGATTTGATGTGCATCGTGGAGACCTAATTTATAGTATTTAATGGTACATTGGCTTGAATGGCAATGGTCAAAAATGACTCCTAGGGTTGGGACCTAAACAATGGTGTAGAGAGTCATGCCCTTTATTGAGAAAGGTAAGACATCAGTGAACAATAATCTTTAGGGGAAAGTTCAATTTGGGTTGTATTAAGTGTGAGATTTATGAGACATCTAAATGAAGATGTCACAGAGGAATCTGAAATAAAAATTTATAACTCAGAGGAGAGTCCTCATCTTGTGTATGGCAAAGCCATGGAAATAGATGTAATCACAGAGAAACAGAATGGAGAGAAAGAGGAGAATTTGAATGTTAAAAGGACAGACCAGGATTCTCATAAAAGTCCACTAATAATATACCTTGGAAAGAGATATAGAACTCTTTTCCCTAAACATCATGTTTGACTTTTATTCTTTCTTCAAGTTTACTCTTAGTGCCATTTTTCCCCCCAGGAACTCTTTCTTAATAGATGCCTTGGTAAAGCAGAATAAATAAAATATCCCAGGCTGGGATTCTAGAAGTAGAGCTGAAAAAGTGAAAGTGATGGAGCTAACCTGTCGCTATGCAGCAGTAAGCAGAGCAGAACTTAAATGATTCAGTGATGAGGTCAGCCTATCAGCCACAAATACAAGCTAAACTTTAAATCTTGTTGGACTGGGATGAGATAAAAAATATTAATAGTGAATGGATTTACAAACAATGATAAAACAAAAAGCAGAGCTGAGAAAGCCAACAAGAGGTGGAGCTGAAAATATGTGCTGAGAGCCAAATATAAAAACTGTGTCATTTGGAGGAGTCATTATGCAGGATCCATGGGTATGAAGCTTGCTATTAATAGGGCTGAACCAGTTCATACAAGCAGAAAGAACATAATCAAAGGCATAGGGGTAAAAATTAGATGGAGTTTTCTGTCCCTTTATCTCATAAGCATTTACTTTGTTGGGTTGTTTCTGGACATACTTCTAGCATCTTTATATCCATACATTATATTGCACAGGGAACCAAGAACTTAACAAGAAGTGGGGTAAAAAAGAACAGAAAGATGTGAATGGCATTATATGAGGAGCTTGAACACAAGGAATGCAACTATGCACAAATGTAATTTTCTGATGGAAGAAAGATTCCAAGAACCCGTGGATTTCAAGTATATATTATAAGAATGCCTTTGACGAAAAAAAAAAGAAAGAAAGAAAGAAAGAAAAGAAAATCAAAACAGGTCACACTGTTTGGGAGGTAAAGAGAGTGTAAAACAGTTAGTTATTTTGAGGCCAAAAAGAAAACACTGTGAAATCCAACCAAAATTTCAAAAATATTTTATATAAAAAATGTCTCTTGAGGAGAGTAATATTTATGCAGAACACTTATGTTTTATGGCTTCAGAAATGCATGGCTAAGTACAGTTAAACTGTGCCTAATCAGACACTGTCTTAAGGCTGGAAAGAGAGCAAATGTGCTTTGATACAATCGACTGCTTGTTGAACGTCTGTTCTATTGTTTTGGATGAATGGATTGAATCAATTATTTTCATTTCATCACCAAACAGTTAGAGCATATCGCTTAACCAGCACAATTGGGACCAGTGGTTGGTCAGTAAAGCAAAAAAATTGGTTAAAATGGGACTTTAAAAAAAAAAAAACAGATGATGCAGTCTTAAAGCAGTTCTTACTTCTCTTATCCACACTTAATTCAACAGTGTTTTTGGGTTTTGGTTTGGTTTGGTTTTTGTTTGTTTGTTTGTTTGCTTAATGGCTTGGTTTTGAGTTTTTCCCAAATCATTAAAACTAATTAAAATAAACTTTTACTCATACTTACGTTTTATTAGTTTATTTATATCCTAATTACAATAACAAATACTTCTGGAAAAAGCAACTTCATGGCTAAGAGAAATGTGAGGCTATATGAATCAGCTGCCTGCTAATTACATTGTTGGCAGTGGTTAGTTTTATTTATTTTTATTTATTTATTTATTTTTTGAGACAGGATGTCACACTGTCTACCAGGTTGGAGTACAGTGGTGCAATCTAACTTTTTTTTTCTTTTTGAGACAGGATGTCACTCTGTCAACTGTGCTAGAGTACAGTGGTGCAATCTCAGCTCACTTAAGCCACAACCTCCTGGCCTCAAGTGATCCTCCTGCCTCAGCCTCCCTAGTAGCTGGGACTACAGGAGCATGCCACCACACCTGACTGGTTAGTATATTTGAAATTAGAAAATGAGATTAATCTGGCATGTTGTTTAAATGAAATTTGCTTAAGAGAGGTTCTACTGCATTTGCATATTCTAAGCTTAAGCTATGTTCTAGTATATAACAACAGTTGTGAATGGCATAATTGTGCACTTAAATGAACCCTTTCTATATTCCAGACACGTATTAACACCAGTAGTACGGTCACTGAGGAGCCAAGAGGGTTAAGTGATAGTGGGAGGGAATAAGAATAAGGAAAGTAGTTGAAGAAGTTGAAGATACTGAAAAATCTGCTAGAATGCAATAGATGGTTTGGGAAAAGTACATAAATGACAAAGTACATTCAAGAAGTGTAGAATGAAATAAAGTGACTACTTTCTCGCTCTACTCTGTTCCACAATCCCTAACTTTGATCTGTTCTCAAATCCTGTATCTCTTTCTTGCACTGAGCTTCAGGTTCAGGACTAGAATATTGACAAATAAATAAAATTTTCTTCTTTTATTTTCCTGAGTCCTAGATTATTAGAACCATAGCCATACTCGTGATCAGAATATTCTCATTAGTACAGATTTTTCTTTCATCCAGTGAACATTTATTCTCTACTTCCTATCTATTAGATAATGTAAATGAAGTCAAGAAAAAAAATACAAGAACAAATGGAGTCTTGAGAAGAGAGAGAGCTGCTTTTTCTTCCTACCCCTACCCACACAGAATTGTAACAAGTGGCATCTCAGATTTTGTTTCCCAAGGAACCTGTCTAGACTCCCTGTGTAGTGCTGACTGATTGCTTATATACTTGAACTGTCTGAATTTAGAATTTTGTAAGTGACTCTAAAAACATGCCAAAGTGGCTATATTTTTTAAAGCCACATTTTAAGGTACAGATAAGAGAACACTTTGGCAAATCATGGGCAGGAGAAGTTGATACTAGCTTTCAAAATAAACATGGTCCTGATCACTTCTTTTTTTTTTTTTTTCCAGATTTTCTGCTCTTGCTTTATTACAGTCTGACTTCTCCATGTAGTTTTTAGCCCCCTTTGCACTGTATAGGTCTAGCCTCAGAACTGTTTAGATGTTCGTTTGTGTGTGTGTGTGTATGTGTGTGTGCACTCATTTATAAATGTATTTTTACCCTGACTGATCCAAAGAACCTTACAAAATATGTCTGATTCAAAACAAGGATAAATTTTTAAGGAAATCAAAGTGACAAAGAAATAAAGACTAAGGTTAAAAAGACAATACATAGAAATATAGATTATATTTTTTCTTTAGACCTGTTAATGGCTGTGTTGAAATTTACCAATAAGCATCGTAGTACCAAAATCAGTGAAGAAACCATAATCAGCTTCAAGACTGATAGTCTAATTACAAAACAAAAATGTGTAGGTAATTTTGGCAAAGTCCTTACTCTCTTCCCCAAAAGGAAAAGTGAAAAAGACATTCTAACAAGTGTTTCTCAAAAGACAGGAATATTGGGAAGAAGTCTAAGGCTACAAAATTAAAGGTCAGTATCAGATCCACCTCAGGTCCAGAGGGAAAGATAGGTGGAGAAAAAGGCATGAACTCATATCGAGTCATTTAGAGATTAGCAATATTATCCGCATTTTTTAAAGTGATGAAACAATGGTTGCAGCGTTTCTGAATTAATGCGTCTATTAAATTAGAGTAGCATAATCAGGGTCTGCCTTAAAAGTCCATGTTTTTCTCAATATAACATGTTTCCTCTTCATGGAAGGAGACAAACAAGGCAAAGACACTGACTTTTCAATGTTCTCTTATCTAATGAATTATTTATCACTCTTCTTTTTCTACTATCATGAAGCTGTCTTTCCTGCAACTCTCACTAAGATGTTTCTTTTGCTTAATAAATTGGTTTTGTAATTAAAAATTAAACTGAAAGACATAAAAATCATTATGTTAAAGGCTATTTTCTCAATTGAAATTTAGTGCCCTTTTGGATGTTGTTTCATGTTTTAATGCTCTGAATTTTAAACCAAAGTTTGGTCTTTGGTTGTTGGGATTTATAAACTGCCAAATACTTCCAACGGAAAAATGCATTTCAAAAGCCTAGGGGAAAAAGGGACTCACTTTACTTTCTTGACATCAAACAGGCCTTGTAAAACAACACATTGATCAGTTAAATACGAATGAACTAGAATCATATGGATATAATTCTCTTAAATTAAATTTCCTTTAAAATAGGGATGGAATTAAACATTAAAAAGGAGAAGTTCACAAAGTCAAGCTTTTTTGTCTGACATCTGTCTACATAGCCCTAAACCCTAAAAGAATAAATCTTAGCACTATTAAATGTATGGCATACTGTCTTATATAATATACAACTAACAGATTATTGTTCATTATATGAATGATGAGAGGATTTTTAGAAAAAAAATCTCAAAGTAGTCACTTCCCTTTTTCTTCAGACAATTTAATTTTTGTTTTTGTATGTGTGTGCTTCAAGAATTGAGAGTAAGTAGTGGTAAGTCCCAGAAGAAGGAGTCAGGATAACTGTCTCAGGTTTTTTGTTCCCAAAAGTTCAATGAAAATATAAACTGCAGGTTTGGTTGGCATCAATAAAGTATGGAGGGAATGTATTTGGACATCAGGAGAAGGAGAATGCTGTCACCTGGAAGGCAGCTAAAAAGTCACAAAAGATCTCAATGAGGCCAGTGATGCCAATGGGAGCTGCTGGGAATTGACTCTTTTAAGTGTGATGTACACCAATCTAGATATACAGTGATGACAAACAAAAAGAGCCCAGCAGCTTCACAGTCACCCATGTGGAATCCTTTACATCCAGCAGTTAAAGTTAGGACTAATTTAAAAGAAAAGAACAGCCAGTTTGCCAAGGGCAATAACAGAAGGAAATGCCTTTAGAGAGGAAAAGGAAAACGGAGGCAGATGGTGTTTGTGGAAGCAAAACAGTCTCCTCTCTACTATACTTTTAAAAGTATAGCCTATCCTGGAAGTAGAAATTAGAGATTTAAAATGGACCCAACATGACTCTAAAGTTACGGGATTTGAGCATTAATGAAGCCCACTATTTATACTTGTAATATTCTTCTGCAACTTATTTAGTGTGGCATATTTATTAATTCAACAAATGATTATTGAACTCTATGCTAGGCACTGTGCTTTATAGAATGTGTGTCTAGATAAGCATTCCTCTACATTAGACCTGAAATATGCACTTTTTGTTGTTTAACAATTATTTTGATGGCTTCATGCTGAGCATATGAGATTAAAATCAAATAATCTTTAAAGAACACAAACTCAAATGGAGGTGATTGTTATAAAAACATATGTATTGGGGTCAAAAGTGTATTCTCTCAACAGTTGTATTCAGAATAGTTCTTACAAATACAGAATGTTTGATACAGGACCTAGATACGAGCTTGATATAAAAAATGAGAGGATGATGAATTAGAGGTTGGCAGCAATAATTTTTTGTTTGTTTGTTTGAGATGGAGTTTTGCTCTTGTTGCCCAGGCTGGAGCGCAGTGGTGTGATCTCGGCTCACTGCAACTTCCATCTCCCAGGTTCAAGCAATACTCCTGCTTCAGCCTCCTGAGTAGCTGGGATTACAGATGCATGCCACCATGCCCGTTTAATTTTTGTCTTTTTAGTAGAGGTGGGATTTCACCATGTTAGTGAGGCTGGTCTCAAACTTCTGACCTCGTGATCTGCCTGCCTCAGCCTCCCAAAGTACTGGGATTACAGGCATGAGCCACCACGCCCAGCTAGGTTGGTAGCAATAATAAAGGCAGAGGTAACTTCACTCAAGAAGTGTTGAGAGGCTAGATAACAATGAGAATAAAAAACGTAAGAGCAGAGCAAAGGTAACTTGTTATGTTTTAGCAAAGAGACTGGTGGCATTTTACTTCTGCCCTAGAGATTTGTGGAACTTTGAACTTGAGAGAGAGATTTAGGGTATCTGGCGGAAGAAATTTCTAAGCAGCAAAGTATTCAAGAAGTGACCTGGGTGCTGTTAAAGGCATTCCATTTTATAAGGGAAGCAGAGCATAAAAGTTTGGAAAATTTGCAGTCTGACAATGTGATAGAAAAAGAAAACCCATTTTCTGAGGAGAAATTCAAGCCAGCTGCAGAAATTTGCATAAGTAATGAGGAGCCAAATGTTAATCCCCAAGACAATGGGGAAAATGTCTCCAGGGCACGTCAGAGGTCTTCATGGCAGCCCCTGCCATGACAGTCTCCAAGACCTAGGAGAAAATGGTTTTGTGGGCCTGGCCTAGGGTCCCTGTACTGTGTGCAGCCTAGGGACTTAGCACCATGTGTCCCAGCTGCTCCGGCCGTGGCTGAAAGGGGCCAATGTAGAGCTCCTGCTATGGCTTCAGAGTGTGCAAGCCCAAAGCCTTGGCAGCTTTCATGTGGTGTTGAGCCTGAGAGTGCACAGAAGTCAAGAATTGGGGTTTGGGAACCTCCATCTATATTTCAGAAGATGTATGAAAATGCCTGGATGCCCAGGCAGAAGTTTGCTGCAGGGGTAAGGCGATCATGGAGAACCTCTGCTAGGGCAGTGTGGAAGGGAAATGTGGAGTTGGTGCCCCGACACAGAGTCCCTACTGGGGCACTGCCTAGTGGAGCTGTGAGAAGAGGGCCACCATCCTCCAGACTCCAGAATGGTAGATCCACCAACAGCTCGCTTCGTTGAGCTGGAAAAGCTGCACTCAATGCCACACTGTGAAAGCAGCTTGTGGGGAGACTGTACCCTGCAAAGGCACAAGGGCAGAGTTGCCCAAGACCATGAGAACTCGCCTCTTGGATCAGCGTGTCTTGGATGTGAGACCTGGAGTCAAAGGAGATCATTTTGGTGCTTTAAAATTTGACTGCCCCGCTGGATTTCAGACTAGCATGGGCCCTGTAACCCATTTGTTTTGGCCAATTTCTCCCATTTGGAACAGTTGTATTTACCCAATATCTGTACCCCCATTGTGTCTAGGAAGTAATTAGCTTGCTTTTGATTTTACAGGGTCATAGGTAGAAAGGACTTGCCTTGTCTCAGATGAAACTTTGGATTGTGGACTTTTGGATTAATGCTGAAATCAGTTAAGACCTTGGGGGACTGTTGGGAATGCATGATTGGTTTTGAAATGTGAGGATTGAGATTTGGAGGGGCCGGGGTGGAATGCTATGGTTTGGCTGTGTCCTCACCCATATTGCATCTTGAATTGTACTCCCATAATTTCCACGTGTTGTGGAGGAACCCGGTGGAAGATAATTTGAATCATGAAGTGGTTTCCCTCATACTGTTCTCATGGTAGTGAATAAGTCTCATGAGATCTGACGGTTTTAACAGGGGTTTCCGCTTTTGCATCCTCCTCAGTTTCTCTTGCCACCATCATGTAAGAAGTGCCTTTCACCTCCCACCATGATTCTAAGGCCTCTCCAGCCATATGGAACTATAAGTCCAGTTAAAACTCTATTTTTTTCCCAGTCTTTTTATCAGCAGCATGAAAATGGACTAATACATATTTCCAAGATATTTTCAATGGCAACATAATATCCAAGCCCATGCTTACTCATTCTATGGAGATCCATTCCCTTGTACCTTATGAAAAAAAACAAAAATTTAATTTCTCAAAGTTAATATAGTAAAAATTGTATTCCCAAATGAATGCTTTCCATATCTTTCCCAATCCCCATCAATGCCCATTAGTTTCAGTTGAATGAAATATTTCTAACCTTCAAAGTTAATTACATCTCTTATGCTTTTGAATCCATTTTTACTAAAATCCTCAAAAATCATCCTCCATCAGATGCTCCCTTCTCTTATATAGGCATCAACTGCTTACTGACTATTGATTCCTCCCAAGTACACCATACTAATATGCCTTAGCCTTGATTTATAGATATGTATATATACATATACACACACATACATAAATACACAAGCACACGTGCATGCATACACAAACTCCACATAATTTAAAGCTTCTTAAAAATAATGAATAGGAGTCAAAGAAGGATGGAAGGAGAGCAATCAGAATGAGTGTAAGTTTAAAGGCTGAATAACACAAAACATACCTAAGTGAGAGGAAGCTGACTTGAATACTAAGAAAGAATTACGAAAAGATTTACATAAAATTGGATTCATAGTACAGGAAGTTTGTATGCCAAGTTAAGGCATTGAATTCTTTTATTTTATACACAGTGAGTAGTCACTATTAAAAGGAATTCTTGTTCATGCTTTTAGCCCAAATTGAGGTGACTTGTCATTAATTTCAGTTATAAGATTAATTTATACTTAGCTCTAGTTGATTCATCCATCCATTCATTCAGTCAACCAGTGTTTATGGAAAAGATATCTTTTGTAACAATGTTTTCTGGGAGAGGGAGGTATAAAAAATAAATTTACATCTAAACCTTAATATTTTCCCAAGGTAGTACTTATTTAATATCCAAGCTTTCTATGATTTTTCATGTTTTTAAAATTATTTTTCTCAACCTTAATTTTACTTCATGGTGTTAGTCCTTAATTTAATTTAAGATCTGTGTGATTTATTCACTGGTACATATCGCAAAGATTACAGACTTAGGTTGAAATAAAGATTAATGAATTCGGATATAACATGCCCAATTTCTCTCTCTCCTTTCTTGTCACTCTTCTTATTCCCTAACATACTCTCATATGCCCACAGATTGTCAGATATTGCTCATAATTGGGTCAATCATCAAATATTTGTGATGAAAGCTTTGAGCTATGTTTTGGCAGTGAAAGAGCAAATGGCATTGCCTATATAAGAATTGACATGTGCAAGTGAGTGGAAAGAAAGCAAACAGATAGATGAAGAGTTCAGTTGGTGTTTAATTTTTTTAAAAAAATAGATATAGGAAAATTTACTTGACTCAGTTTGAGGATAAAGGCCAGAGAAGGAACATCTGGGCATGAAAAGAAGAGTTTATTGAGCATTGAACCAGAAAGAGATAGTGTGGTCATCACACAATATAGACATGAAATGGTTAGACAGATATACAAAGATACTGATGATATCCTATGAGAATAAAACATTTCATCTTTTGTTTGACTTCAAGTAGGAAGTTAGTAAAAATTAGTCTTCACTCACAATGGTAATGTTTTAGCACATAAGTCTCACCACCTTATCATTCATGGTTGGTCCATTATGGCTGTCCCTACAGTGTGGCTTTAAGTACACTGTGACCTTCAAGCTTCCAAGTATCTCTAATGAAGCTCTGTGTATTCCTAATTCTTTGGGAAAATAATATTACGGTCTAGCATGGAGCAGAGGCCTATGGTGGACTATGGGTGGATTTGTTTCTAAGAAGTACACATAGAATGGAGAAAATATCTCCTGAAGCAAATGATCAAGATTTTTGCACATATTAATTGAGCAGGACTTTTTCATTCTCAATCAAAATATCCTAAAATTCGCTGGACAATGCCCAGGGTAAGAGCAGAAACAAGGAAAAGGGCCATCCTGCCACAGGAAATAACACAAGCCAAAAAATAACAGCATGAAACATCATGGTATGTGTGAAGTTCTCTTCACATATTTTAAGCATATTTGTTTAAAATATGTATTACTTGAACATAAAAACATAAACAATCATTTCCCATAAACAAATTAAGAATTTTTTCAATTAATAAAATAATTTTAAAACTTAAATTAAAAACCATACTTTCTACATTTTTGGTGTTTCATAGCAAAAGGGAATTTCATAATAAAAACAGCCAGCCTATCTTATTAAGACTAAAGGCTTTAATTTTGAAATAATAAATAACAAAGTATAAAACTGCATATGTACTGAAGTCCACATGTGAATACTTTATTTAACTTCTTCAGAAATCTTTAAAGGAATAGATAATTAAAATATCTAAGTTTGCTAAATTGACAAAAGGTACAATCCTGTTTGGTAAAACAAAAACCAAGACTTTGTGAGGTTTGTTAGCAATACCAATTTTCTGTGTGATTACAAATCATAAATTAATCTTTATACTATACATGTCTCCCTTAAGACTATTTTCATCATTACTAACAGGTCTGTGTTTTATAATTTTATACTTCCATTGCAAAAAGCTAGAATTAGATAAAACAATACAGGCAGTTGCTAGAAAAAAAAAACAGTTTTTATTAGTGTTTAGATATAATAATAAGCAAGAATCAATGCAAAAGTTTGTTTATAAGTTTTTAAAATCTATGTTTAATCCTAAAGAGTTCATGACCAATTAAAATATTTAAGTTTGAGATGAGTGGCTATATGGATATTTGGAAGCATGGCCACTCTTTTTATTATTTAGGTGATTTGCTCATTTTTTAGCAGAGCTCAAGCAAAAATAAAATTTCAATGAAGGTCAATCCATAATAACTTTTTTTAATGATCACAATTCTTACTTTTCTTAAATATTAATAAAATTATTTAAAAGAAAATAAGTAATGATAGTATTGAGAAAATTTAATCAGCTCCTGGCTTCTTCACAATATTATAAGATATTTATGAATTTTTGAAATATAAGCTAGTTTTCAAAATTTTGGAGTAAAGAGTATATATTTAATGATACTATTAATTTATAAATGAGGATATCTTAACTACAATGTAGCTTACAGGTAAAAACAATGAACTCTGAATTAGGACAGTAGTTTTGTGCCTTTTGCAAATCACCGAATTTATTAGTTCTAGGTATTATCATCTATAAAATTGTGGTTAAATTAGATAATGCATACAGAATATGTAATATGCTGCTGGCATATTAGTATTTCTTAAATATATTGAAATGCACATTTCTTCAACAAATATTCAGTCTACCACTAAGTGACTGGCATTTTACTAAATACTGGGAATGTGAAAATGGACAAGATATGGTCTCTGCCATCAGGAGTTAATTTTGTGTTGATATACAAAAGGAAATTGGTAGCAATCCCTTCACACATTCAGCAAATATTCCTTGAGAACCTATAACATTTTAGGCACCTATGTACCATGGTGCCATGGAAACTGTGGTGGTGTGGGGAGAGGAAATGAGGGAAGGGAGAGCTGAAGCACACTAGGAGGATCTGCCAAGTAGCTGAGGAAGGATGAGGACGGCTTAACCAGTTATTTAAGTGTAAAGGAGATATAGTGAGAAAAGATATAGAGCTTCATTATACACATTCTACAAATACAGGGTTGTTGTTAAGATACACAGTATTTAAATGTTAATATTTAAAACTCAAGGATTTCGTGGATGTGACATTTTCTAATGAATTTGACATATAGCACTTACGAAACAAAAATTAAAATGTAATGTAAAATCCTAAGAAACAGTACTTTGTTTGCTTTAGAAATATTTCTTATAGGAAATATTCCACTTTTAAAATGAGATAATTTCCCTAAAAAAGAAATTATTTTAAAATGCAATTATATTTTCTTCTCATTCTCTTTATCTCCTCTCTTAATGTTTTATTGTGATTTTTGATATTATGTTTCTATTTAAAGTTTGTCTTTCTCTTTTGTTCAGCCTTATACCAAAATTTTTTGAAAACATCATTTTCATTATCAAGGAGTTAACTTTCTGATTTTATGAAGATCAATATTTGCTTTGGCTTTCCCAGTTCAATACAGATATATAATTTAATCAACTAAATATATGGTCTTTATTTTTTCATTTGGAAAATTTGCAGGACTTCAAGAACTGCTATACAAAAAATCATTTAGCCCTTAATACATGCTGAGAATAATAATTAATAGAAATGTAAACGTGTACACTGTATATACAGCTGCCTGGATTATGACTGCAGTAAATCCCTATGGTGACCAAATTTAATTTATTTTGGTTATATATATGTATGGGCATGTGTGTTTGTACATATACGTCTGTGTGTGTGTGTGTGTGTGTGTGTGTGTGTGTGTGTGTGTGTATGCATATATATATTCAGAGAGAGAGATTTAACTCAATTTTTCTTAAAGCCAATTTAAAAAATAAGAAACCGGATTTTATTTTGCATGTAAACTATGATCCCTTGCTGATGGGTATATACAATCAATATTAACATAACCAGAAACATATGGGAACTTTAAAAGTTATAGAACAATTAGATCACATGAAAATAAAAAAGACATGCTGATAATATTTTGATAGAATTAAATGATAAAAATTACTATTTCTATTAATAAACTTTTGACTGACCTTTGTTATACCAATAGTTTTGGTGAAGAAATACAGAATAAGTTCCAAGAGAAGACAGTCAACATTAAAGAGGCTTAATGCTGATCTAAAATAGTATTTTATTTCCAAGGTTAAAATAAGGGTAGAATGCCCTCAGGGGTGGACTTTCTTAGGCAAAGGTGCTGATGGTAGTAACTATTAGCATTATTCAGCAGTTTAGAACTGTAATTATTACAGGACTGCATTTTATACCATTCCATTCATTTGTTAGGTGTGATATAGTAAAGAATAACAGTATCTTAAGGCCAAGTTATTTGGGGGATGAATAAGCCCTTTGAGCATAAGGTCACCATAGAAAATATTTTTCTTTCTCCATATTTACATTTTGATTAATTGAAACCCTGAAATTATATAATACATTTGGAATTTTATGGAGTATATCAGTGGTTGAATCTGCAATTTCTTAGGAAAATTCGAAATATTTATTATTAGTTTTATAAAGTTCTGTTCTTTAAAGGAACAGAAAATATTACTTTTCCATACATTAATTATTGTCTTAATTTTAATTTTTGTATCCAAATAACTAACAAAAAAAGCATTTTTTTAAAGATTGATGCTGCATTATCATATTTTAGATGGAGAACTTAGATTATATTTTTCTAATACATAATATAGTCATTAACTAATATTTAAATAAATAAAATGATATTTCTTTAACACTCTTATACTGGATAAGTTAGATACTGCTCTCCATAAATGACTGGATAATAACTATATTATGGTTATTATGTTCTGACTTATTTAAATAACTTTTTGGTCAATGCTTAATGAGGAAATTGTCTATTAAAGGGACTTTTTTGAAAGTACTGCAGTAGTCAAACTACAAAGAAAATGACTGATTTCTGATTTAAAATATCTTAATGGATTTACAAGCTATCTTGCCCATTTGTGAGTGTTTTCAATTTGCAGGATCATTGATAACTGATTATTTAATTAACTGCATTTTTGAGGTCAGCCTTTGCCATCCTCTCTCCAGTATAAAAATTGCATATATTGGTAATTGAATTTTAAGATCTATATATTTTTTCAATTATTATTGTAGCATAATTAAAGGAAAATTCTTTTTAATAAATATTTCTTCAAATAAAAAACGATAAGGCTGCACATTTTGAGGCTCATAAAGTTCATTTTCAAAGGAGTGCATTGTACAATGTTGATATGCAAATTGATCGTCTTCATAAGAAAGGAATTGGGAAAATGTAATTTAAAGTTTATTGAATTTTGTTGAGTTTTTGTTTTGTTTTGTTTTGTTTTTTCCTTTCAGGCTGCTCAACACTGTGCTGTATATCAAAAGAGCATACATTCATACGCATATATGCCATATGTCTTTCCTCTTCCTTTGTAACTAACATATAAATAGTATCTTCATTTTGTTTTATTGAAAGGAAACTGAAGTTAAGATAACTGAGTAAACTGGACCTAAATACCACAGCTAGACAGTTCTTTCTAACTCCACACAACAGGACAGGACTTTGTAATATCAGCTGGCTTTAGTAGCATTACATGCCTGAAGAGTCCTGCTGCATGGCAGTAAGGTACTATTAGTTTTGGAGTGGGTTTTTTTGTTGTTGTTTTGTTTGTTTGTTTTTGAGACGGAGTCTCTCTCAGTAGCCCTGGCTGGAGTGTAATGGCACGATCTCGGCTCATGGCAACCTCTGCCTCCCGAATTCAAGCTATTTCCCTGCCTCACCTCCTGAGTAGATGGGATTACAGTCGCCCACCAACACGCCTGGCTGATTTTCGTATTTTTAGTAGAGACAGGATTTCATCACCATGTTGGTCAGGCTGGTCTCCCACTGCTGACCTCGTGATCTGCCTACCACGGCCTCCCAAAGTGCTGGTGTTACAGGCGTGAGCCACTGCGCCCGGCTAGTGTAGTTCTTTTAATTCTGTGAAAATAGCTTCTGTGTGTACAACTTAAATGTTTATGTAATATAACCCGCTCAACCCACTGATTAGCATAATTCCAGCAGAAGTAAAAATCAAAGAACAATAAAATGTAAGGAAAACTGTTTCTCACATTGAGATTTCTTAAAGAAATTTTAGATGTTTTAGTTAACAAATATCCTATTTCTTAATTTAAACTATATAAAATCTGAATTATGTCTCAGTATCTCAGTTAGACTCTATTTCCAGAAAGATAATCATGAGGAAACAATAAATCCAAAATATGGTACGTTATTTTTTCACTGTTCATACAAATCACTTTTTAATGCAAATAAACCTAGAATGAACTTCTGGAAATTCCTTTCTTGTTCTGGTCTCCCTTTGTTGGGCTCTCTGTTCAAATGTTTTTGTTTTTCTTCTTTCCCTCCTGCCAGAGACTGATTCCCACCATGGAAAAGTCCTCTAAGAAGTGAGCATGACTTCAGGCTCCACTCAGGAGGGAGAGTGGAACCTCCTTGACCACATCATTACAGAGGCGGCTTGGATCTGTCGGATTCCTCCGAGGCATCACCTGTCACATTCCCCTCTGGAGGAAAATAACTGTAGTGAAAACTGGGCCAGGCGCGGTGGCTCACGCCTGTAATCCCAGCACTTTCAGAGGCCGAGGTGGGCAGATCACGAGGTCAGGAGATCGAGGCCATCCCGGCTAACACGGTGAAACCCCGTCTCTACTAAAAAAATACAAAAAATTAGCCAGGTGTGGTGGCGGGCACCTGTAATTCCAGCTACTCGGGAGGCTGAGGCAGGTGAATGGTGTGAACACAGGAGGCGGAGGTTGCAGTGAGCCGAGACCCTGCCATTACACTCTAGTCTGGTGACAGAGAGAGACTCCGTCTCAAAATTAAATAAATAAATAAATATTAAAAAAAAAAAAGTCAGGAGACAGACCTTGTTAGAATGATAACCCATTCCTTGACTTTCTGCTGCAGAGGATGATCAGAACAATTTGTAAAAAATCATAGGAAACTTTAAAATGCATAGTGCATTTTCTTAATTATATAAAAACCTAATATAAATAGTAAACTTCGGGATAGGCTACTTCTGACTAGGTACAGAGACATAAATTCAGGAGTGTACTTGCATCTGTTTACAGTTAAACTGGTGTCAAATACTGCTACATGCTTCAAATCCACACTGAAGACCACTGATGTGGGGTCTATAAATTTGCTGCTGATGATGCTATTTTTTCTTGAGGTGGCTTTTTGTTGTTTTAATCTCTCAAAAAGCATATGGCTCATGTGTGAAATTATTTCAATTCAACGACTGAAATGCTTTTTAGAAAGTTTAGAAATATTAACTAACTGGATACTTGGTATAAATCGTTATTTATCCTAAAATATCATTTTACTTTAGAATAACTATTTCAGGAACTGTAATAATTATGGAACTTAAACCCTGAAAATAAGTTTGCGGATACGTTTTTAGTTTTTTCGTATGACTTATCCCATGGTGCAAAATCATACATTTCTAGGATAATACTCTTGGAATAGAATATAGCTTCCCAGATTTTTTTCCATTGCTTTAAACAAAATTTGCATTTGAACATGTATTTAATCCAGCTTTATAGTTTTTTAAAGTAACTATATTACTGATAGTAATGTTCATTAAATGGTGACCACAGTTCTCCACATTTAATACCCCTATGAGGTACGTACTACTGCAGGCACATGTGCTAGGTGGTGAAGTGAGTCTTAAGACAAGATATTTCAGTTAACAAATATCCTATTTGTTAGTTTAAACTATATGAAGTCTCAATTATGTCTCAATATATCAGTTAGACTCTATTTTCAGAAAGATAATAATGATTAAACAATAATTCCGGAATATGGTACATGTTATCTTGTTCAAGATCACTAAAGTAGTCCACATCTAAGGCAAGATATGAACCAAGGTCATCTAACATAGGAATTCGTTGTCGTAAATCCTCAGTTTTTCAGTGACTGTAAAAATTGCTTTATGTGCAACATGCTAATGATACCATGTGTAGCTGAATTTAATACCCAAACAATCCCATGTAATTCTATAATTTTCTCGTTTTCTAAACTTTGAAAGTTGGCAGATTTTCTCTTACGATGATATTTTGAGTTCTTTCAGTTATTTCTTTGATCTTTTTAAGGAATATTTTTAGTGGTCAGAGAGAGAAAAAAAAAAGCTGTTTTCTTAAAAAAGGTTGGAGTATAGTATAACCCTGCTGTCAAAGTCTTGTTGCTAAGGGGACACTGAGTTCTGATTTAATACCATTATCAATGGCAGCTTTATCTATAAGTAAGGCTGTAGATCCAGAGAGAGCTGTTAATCTTAAATTAAGATTTAGGATAAATTACAAAGAAACATTCTAATCAAGCCTAGATAAAACCAAGATAAATTGGGGCTTTGGGTAGTAACAGTTAAAATGGAAAAAAAAAAGAATTGTATAGCTAGGTCTTTCAATATTGTTTTGTGTTTTCACATGTGAATAGTTATGTTGAGCTGTAGAAGCAAAGAATATAAGAAAAGAAATGGAGACTGACATCCCTGGCAGTGAAAAATGTCTGCTTTAGAAGCAGGCATGTGGGGAACATGGGATTTTGCTTTTCACCAAGGCCCTGCTCTTAAAGGGTAAAAGGCAGCCAAAAACCTGCAGGGAAACGAGCTGCCCCTTGTATATGGATATGATCATAAATGTCACATTTGCAAATATAAGATTCACACCATTCTTCCCTTTTCATCTGTCATTTCAAATTACATGATTTCAAATGTTAGCGTACAAAAGTAATCTCATTGTAAAAAGAGAAACTCAAAGCGATAGTTGACAATAATTCTCCTCTTACTCCATATTTCTCATCACCATTAAAGAAAAAAACAGCTAACAGTTTTGCTGAAATAGAAATATACTTTTTTTAAAAAAATTATACATAGCATTTTTTCAGAGAGATATAGTGTAATTTATTTGACACTTTATGTTGTATCCGTTTTATTGGTATTGTTTTTGTTCTTGTTTCTTTTCTTTTTCTATTAAGATAATACTGCACTGAGCATTTACATGATAAAAATCTCTCATCAAATGGGTGAGGGTTTCTTTAAAATATAATATTAACACTACACTCTCTGGGTCAATATTATATATGTTTTAAAAAGTTTGATAGATACATTGCCAAGTTGCTTTACATCTACTGTTTTACCAATAAACACTCCTACAGTTTTATCAAGTTTAGGTAATACTCATCTTTTATATTATATACATCTAACAAATGAAATCATTATTCCTTAACTATAATATGCAAATTACTGGTTACTACTGAAATAATTTTTTAAATATTTTTATTGGCTATGTGTATCTACTTTACTCAGAAATAACTGTTTATATTATACGGCAACTTTTCTATTCAGTGTTTGACTTTTCTGTTAATATTTAAGTATATATGCTAATTCAATATATAGTAGACCTTTAAACAATACAAGTATGAACTGTGTGGGTCCACTTATATGTGAATTTTTTCAATAAGTATAATTGAAATTTTGTTACAGATTTGCAACAATTTGCAAAACCTTACAGACAATCCACATAGCCTAGAAATACCAAAAAAAGTTAAGCATTTTATGAACACATAATATATACAAATCTATTATAAAATGTTAAGCTTTATCAAAACTTAGACACACAAACACTTACAGACCATACATGGCCCCATTTACAGCTCTGAGAAATGTAAACAAACATGAAGATGCAGTATTACATTATAACTGCATTAAACTAACCACAGTACATACTGTACTACAGTACTAATTTTGTAGCCAACTCCTGTTGCTATTGTGGTGAGCTCAAGAGTGGCTCATGTGACACTAATCATCTCCATGTGAGCAGCTTCTCTCTACAGTAAATTGCAGATTCAGCAAAAAGTGATCTCTCATGGTTCTCCCATATTTTCGTCATGTTTAGTGCAATACCATAAACCTCGAATAACACCATGGGACCCATACAATTTGCCACTATTAATGCTGGAAATGCTCCCAACAAGTAGAGAAAAGTCATGGCATTATAATAAAAAGTTGAATTTCTTGATATATGCTGTAGATTGACATTTGCAGCTGCAGTTGTCTGCCATTTCAAGATAAAAGAATTCAGTGTAAGGACCACTGTAAATAAATAAAAGGAAATTTTTGAAACCATAGATGCAACTACACCAGCAGGAAGGAAAACCATTCTTCTTTTTTTTTTGAGAAATACCTTTTTATACCCTATTGAAAATGCAGTTTTTATCCATGTAATAGTCCATTCTAACACTGCTATGAAGAACTACCTGAGACTGGATAATTTATGAAGAAAAGAGGTTTCATTGACTCAGTTTCGCAGGCTTAACAGGAAGCGTGGCCGGAAAGCCTCAGGAAATTTACAATCATGATGTAAGGGTGAAGGGGAAGCAAGCACCTTCTTCTCATGACTGGCGAGAGGGCAAGAGTGAAAGGGGAAGTGCCACACATTTTTAAACGATCAGATCTCTTGAGAATTCACTTGCTCTCCAAGAAAAGCACAGGGAAATCTGCCCTAATTATCAAATCACCTCCCACCAGGCCCCTCCTACAATTTGACAGGAGATTTGGTCAGGGACAGAAATAACAAACCATATCAATGTGGGTGCAGGATTGCTGTAAGAAAAGCATATCTACAGACTCTAATATGATTTGAGAAAAGATAATCATATGACAAAGGAGAATTTAATGCCAGCAAAAGATGGTTTAATGATTTTAGAAAGAGATTTGGTTCAAAAAATGTCAAGATAACAGGAGAAGCAGCTTCTTTCAATAAAGAGGTAGCAGATACGTTCCCAGGACCATTAAGAAAATAATTGAGAAAGGATATCTGCTCGAAGAAGATTTTAAATTGTATTTACTGAGGAAAAATATACATATAAAATTACCATTTTTGCTGTTTTTTTTTTCATTTTTACGCTTTTTAAGTGTACACTTAAATGGGAATAACTACATTTATATTCTTTTTTCTCTTCATCCCTCTGCCTTCCAATCCTTTCCAGTCTCTAGAAACCACCAATCTACTCTCTATTTTCATGAAACCTACTTCTTTAGCTCCAACATATGAATGAGAACATGAAATATTTGTCTTTCTGTTCTGGCTTATTTCACTTAACATAATGGCTTCCAGTTCCATCTACACTATGGCAAATGACAGAATTTCATTTTTAGGCTAAATAATATTCCATTGTGTAGACATATCACATCTATTCACCTGTTGATGGGCATATAGGTTGATTCCATATTTTGGCTATTGTAAATAATGCTGCAATAAACACGGGAGTACAGATAGCTGTTTAATACATTTTTTTCCTTTTGGACATATACTTAGTGTAGAATTGCTGGATCCTGCTCCATTTGTAGTTTTTTGAGGAACACCCACATGTTCTCCATAGTGGCTGTACCAATTTAATTCCTACTAGTGGTGTAGGAGGGTTAACCTTTCTGTGCATCCTCACCAGCATTTCTTATTGCTTTTTTGATCCAAGCCATTTTAACTAGGATGAGATGATATCTTGCGGTTTTGATTTCTATTTTCCTGATAATTTATGATATTGAGCATTTTTTTCTTATACCTGTGGGCCATTTGTATGTCTTCTTTTGAGAAATGTTTGTTTACATTTTTTTGCCCATTTTAAATCAGATTATTATTATTATTACCGCTATTGAGTTGTTTAAGTTCCTTATATATTCTGGTTATTAATCCTTTGCCAAATGGTTAGTTCAGAAATACTTTCTCCCATTCTGTGAGTTGTCTTTTCACTTTGTTGATTGTTTTCTTTGCTGTGCAAAAGATTTTTAGCCTGATATAATCCTATTTGTCTATTTTTGCTTTGGTTGAGTGTGATTTTGAAGTTTTACACAAGAAATCTTTGCCCAGACAAACGTTCTGGAGCATTTTCCAATGTTTTCTTCTAGTAGTTTCACAGTTTCAGGTCTTAGATTTAAGTCTTTAATCCATCCTGATTTGATTTTTCCATATGGTAAGACACAGAGGTCTAGTTTCATTCTTCTGCATATAGTTACACAGTTTTCTCAGCATAATTTATTACAATGATCATGCTTTTTATTTGTATGTTCTTGCCATCTTTGTTGAAGATGAGATGGCTGTAAATGTGTAGATTTATATCAACGTTCCCTATTCTCTTTCATTTGTCCATGTGACTGTTTTTATGCGAGTACTATGCTGATTTGGTTACTATAGCTTTGTAGTAAATTGTGAAGTCAGGTAATATGACGCCTTCAGCTTTTTTCTTTTTGCTCAGTATTGATTTGGCTTTTTGGGGGTCTTTCATTCCATATATATATTAAGACTTTTCTTATATTTCTGTGAAGAATGTCATTGGTATATTGATAGAATTTGCATGAAATCTGTAAATAGCTTTGGAATAGTATTGCCATTTTAACAGTATTAATTCTTCCAATCTATGAGTATGAAACATTTTCTACTGTTTTGTGTATCCTCTTCAATTTCTTTCATCAGAGATTTATAGTTTTCCTTCTATACATCATTCACTTCTTTGGTTAGATTGCTTCTTAGGTATTTCATATTTTTGTAGCTATTATAAATAAAATAGTTTCCATGATTTAGATTTTAGATTATTTGCTGTTGGCATATGTAAATGCTACTGATTTTCGCATGTTGATTTTCTGTCATGCAAATTTACTGAATTGGTTATTTGTTTTAACAGGTTTTTTTGCTGGACTTTTTAGTGGTTTCCAGGTATAAAATCATGCCATATGTGAACAAGGATAATTTGACTTCCTCCTTTTAAAGTTAGATGTCCTTTATTCCTTTCTCTTGCATAACTGCTCTGACCAGGATTTCGTGTTATGTCAAATAAAAGTGGTGAAAGTGGCCATTGTTGCCTTGTTTCAATCCTTACAGGAAAGGCCTGCAATTTTTCCCCCTTCAGTAAAATGTTAGCTTCGGGTTTGTCATATATGATTTCTATTATTTTGAATTATATTCCCACTATACTATATGATGAAAGTTTTTATCATAAAGGGATGTTAATTTTATCAAATGCTTTTTCAGCATCTATTGAGGCAATCATATGTTTTTTGTTATTGATTCTGTTAATTTCATATATATTTATTAATTTGTGTATGTTGAATTATCCAAGCATCCCTGTAATGAATCCCACCTGATCACAGGAAATGATTTTTTTAATGGGTTGTTGAATTCAGTTTGCTACTATTTTGCTGAGGATGTTTCTATATATGTTCAACAGTTATATTGGCATATAGTTTATTTTATTGTTATTCCCCTGTCTAGTTTTGGTATCAGGGTAATCTGGCCTCACAGAATGCGTTTGGAAGTCTGACCTCTTCAATTTTTTTTAAAGAGTTTTGGTAGGATGGGTATTAGTTCTTTAAATGTTCTTGAATGCTAGAATCCAGCAGTCAAGCCATCAGGTCCTAGACTTTTCTTTGATGGGAGACTTTTGATGATGGCTTCAGTCTCATTACTTGTTTTTGGTTTGTTGAAGTTTTCTGTGTCCTCATGGTCCAATGTTGGTGGGTTGTATATCTCCAGGTATTTATCCATTTCTTCCAATTTGTTCATGTTTAGTTAGTTGTTCACAGTAGTCTCTTTGATTCTTTGCATTTCTGTGGTCTCAGTGGTTATTCTCCTTTTTGTTTCTGATTTTATTTACTTTGGTCTTCTCTTTTTTCTTAGTTTAGCTAAACTTTGTCTATTTTTTTTTTATCTTTTCACAAAGCCCACTTCCGTTTGGTTAAACTTCTGTAATTTTGTTGACTCTTTTTCATTTATTTCTGCTTAGATCTTTATTAATTTTTTTTCCTTCTACTAATTTGGAATTTGGCTTGTTCTTGCTTTCTAGTTCCTTGGAATGGATTGTTAGGTTATTTATTTGAAGTCTACCTACATTTTCAACATAACCATGTAGTTTATAAACTTCCTCTCAGTGCTCTTTAAGCTATATCCCATAGATTTTAGTATGTTCTATTTCCATTTTCATTTGTTTCAAGAAATTATTTAATTTCCTTCTTAATTTATTCATTGACCCATTGGTCATTCAGGAGCCTGTTGTTTAATTTCCACGTTAGCATACTTTCCAGGTTCTTCTTGTTACTGATTAGTAGTTTAATTCCATTGTTATCAGAAAAAGATACTTAATATGATTTCTGTCTTTGTTGTTGTTGTTGTTGTTCAGGCTTGTCTCATGGCCTAAGACATGGCCTATTCTGGAGATTGTTCCATGTGCTGATGAAAAGAATGCGTATTCTGTAGCAGGTGGGTGCAATGTTTTGTAAATGTTTTTTACGCCTTCCAAATCTAGTGTGTAGTTTAACTATGCTGCTTCTTTGTTGATTTTCTGTCTGGTTAATCTGTTCGTTGAGAGTGAGATGTTAATTGCTATTATTGTATTGCAGTATATTTATATCTTCAGATCTATTAATGTTTGCTTTATATACTTGGGAACTCCAGTGTTTGGTGCATAAGTAATTATAATTGTCATATACTCTTGTTGAATTAACACAGTTATCATTACATAGTGACCTTCTTTGTGTCTTTTTACAATCTTGGGTTTGTAGTCTATTTTACTGGATATAGGTATAGCTACTCCTGTTCTTGTTTTGCTTCCATTTACATGGAATAACTTTTTCCATCCCTTCACTTTCAATATATGTGTGTCTTTATAGGTGAAGTGGGTTTATTTAAGGCAGCATATAGTTGACTCTTGTTTCTTTGTCCATTCAGCCATGATATGTCTTTTAACTGAAGAATTGAGACCATTTATATCATTGATAGGTAAGGACTTACTATTGCCATTTTGTTGCCTGTTTTCTGCTTATGTGAGACTCCTCTTTTCCTTTCTACCTTTCTTACTGTGTTCCTTTGTGGTTATTTTCTCTGGCAGTATGTTTTCATTTGTTGCTTTTGTTTGGTTTTAGTGAGCCTATGACAAGTTTTTGTGTTGTGGTTACCATGAGGACTACACAAAAATCCTTGTAGCTGTAATGAATTATTTTAAAGAGATGCCAACTTATCTTTGATCACAAATAAAAGAATTGAAACAAAGGCAAACTCACACACACACATGCACACACACACACACAATCTGCACTTTAACTCCATCGGGGGAAGTCCCAAATGTATTATCTAGGCAGTGTGAGAAGACTGGCTAGATATTTATGTTCCAGGGACTTGTGAAACAAACCTCTTACAGCATGGTGTTGCTCTACAGCCACTCTAACTTGTCATCTCGTTTGGCCAAGTTACAGAACAGTTTCTAGGACCGGGGTTAATACTTCCACCTCCTCAATTGTCTGTGTCTGTTCTCACAGATATTTTTCTCATCAGGCTATTGAAATGCTTCCCTTCAGTTAAGGCAAGAACAGGTCTCCTGCCAGGGAACACGAGAATCCAAAAAGCTGGTTGCTGCCTCAATATCACTTTTTTCAGTGTAAACACCATGAGATGGAAGAATATTTTCTGTATAATTCTTGCTGGGCAGGATGAGAGAGGGTTATCATGAGTGTGGAAGTCCAATTCTTTTACCATCTGCTCAGAGTTTTTTCACTTTTCTGTGCTCCTGGGATCTGTCTCATCCTCATATTTGAGTTCTGAACTGTTGCTGGTAAAAATCTTGGCACTGTATATTTGGTTTGGTTTTCTAAGAGGAAGTGTGAAGCCAGTTGCTTAAATGCTGCCATTTTAAAACAATTGAATAGGTATTTAATGCACATAGTACTGCCATAATCTGGGGGGAAAATGCCACAGAGGATATTTATTAGTAAGAAAGAGAAGCAAACGCCAGGATTTAAGACAGGAAAGCATAGGCTAACCCTACTGTTTTGTGCAAATGCAGTGAAGTTTATATTCATGACTTCCCTTTCCCCAAAGCTTCAGTCAACTAAGTCTGAGCTCTGAAGGGAACAGATTAACGCCAGTTGCCAGTCTTTTGATTATGCAACAAGAAAGTCCAAACAATGAGGACCTTTTTTCTGGATTGGTTCCAGCAATGCTTTGTCCTTGAAGTCAAGAAGTAGCCTGACAGTAAGGGACTCCATTTTAAAGTTATTTTGATATTGGAAAATGCCTCTGACAACTGAGTTCAATACTGAATGCATCAAAGTGCTCTACTTGCCCCAAACATAATGTCTCTAATCCAACCTGTACATAAGAGGGTTGTAAGAAACTTTAAGGCTCATTGTACAGGGTCCTCTATGGAAAGGATTGTCAACACTACGGAAAAGAACATCATGAAAGTCTGGAAAATTTCAACCATTGAAGACATCATCATTGTTATTAATAAATCCATGAAAGCCACCAAGAACTAATAGACACCACACCAGAGGAATTTGCAGAAGACAGCCTGATGGAAACAAATGCTTTCAAATGAATGCTAGGTGATAAGATACAGAAGAAGCAGTGCAAGAAAACAAACTGACATTAGACAGTCTGGCAGAATCATTCTGATTATTCAAGACTGTTTTTACTTCTTTTATGATGTGGACCATTCTATAATACAGGCGTCTAAACTAAAGCAAACAGTGGAAGAAAATTTGGTATCATGTAGAAACATTTTTAGAGAAATAAAATTGGAAAAATGTTAGACAGAAATTAAGATATATTACTGTAAAGTTACAAGTATGCCTCCATTTCCTGCCTCCCGTTCCACTTCCTCCAACTTTTCTGCCTCTAGTGCCCTTGAAACAGCAAGACCAACCCTTTCCCTTCCTCCTCCTCCTCGGCCTACTCAACGTGAAGACAACGAGGATGAAGATCTACTTCCACTTATTAAAAAATAAGCATAATTTCTCTTTCTTATGATTTTCTTAATATCATTTTCTCTTTCTTTATTGTAAGCATCTAGTACATAATACATTATACATATTACATGCAAAATGTGAGTTAATTGATTATTTTATCAATAAGGCTTCTGATCTACAGTAGGCTATTAGTAGTTTTGCTCTTGGGAAGTCAACAGTTATATGTGAATTTTCAACTGTCAGGGTGGGGGCTGGTACCCAAACCCCTGCATTATTCAAAGGTTAACTGTATTGATATCAATTTTCTGTCTTAAATCATTACTCTCTCTTTACTCACTTTTTATTACTATTTGTTAGTCATATTCTCCTTATCAGAATTGCTGCTATCTTATGGATTGAGGATTTCTAGAAGTAAGAAACTATGTCTTTTTAAACTGCTTAACCAGTACCAGTACAAATAGATGCTTGATAAATATGAGTGTGAGAGCCAGAGAGAAAGAATAATGATATATCCCTAAGATATACATTAATAATATAAAGATAATTTACTTTAAGTTGTATGACTAGATTTATGTGAATAAAAGCAGAATTAAACATCACTGAATAGTGTACAGTGTCTACTGTGAGCATTTTGCGGACTACAGCACTCTAGTTGGGTCATTTGGTCATGTTCCTTTCTGCTATACATGGGTAGACCCACGTGTTAATCAGCTCAGTTGTGACATATATTTATAACCTATGATTAAACTCATAATAGACTGCCCAGAACAGAGCACAAGGTCGAGGAGAGAGTTAGAAATACTAAATGAAAGTAGGGATTTATGGCTCTCTAACTTAGACAATTTCGTTCATCAAAACTAGTCTTCTCAATTAGTGGTTCAAATAGTTCATTTCTCAATGAGTTATCTAAATAGTTGCAACTGCATAAATTCAACCACATTGTTAAGCTTGTTTGAAAAATAAGAAAAATGCTCACTTATCAATTTGACCAGACATTTCTCAAATTTTAACATTATTTTAAATCATAAAACTATATGGGGCATGCTAGCTTTTTAAATGGATTTGAAGATTATTATCTCTAGATGCCTTTAACATTTTGAAAGGATTTGAAGCCTGGTGGAAGAGATATAGAGGTAAACACTCTGTGATACCCTTACAAAAATATTAACCATTCTAAAAGGTATACAGGAATTGAAAAACTGAAAGCAATTGGAAATTTTTCACTTAGAAAATAAATATGCTAAGACATCAAACATATAGAAGAAATACGTATAATGGTGCATGTGATCATAGCTATACAATTATTACAGAAATATATAAAATGGAAAATTCTAAAAATATTTTAAATATTTAAGTTACATGACTGTTTCTATCACCACATTCAGTATGACCTGAAGCAAATTATTTCACCCCATCACTTACATGGCATTAAAAAAATAAGCATCAAATTAGAATGCCTACTCTCTCAAATGTGTTTGAATCAGCTCTGTCTGAAAAAGAAAGCATTTCATTTCTTCAGCAGACTTTTGCTAGTGTACGTATAGTCTAGGATCATATGAAACAATTAGTTCAGAAAGGCCATAAAAATATTTTACAGAAAGAAAGATTAATCAAAAATCCCAGTCTCTAGTGTGTACGAAGCTATGTCAAGTAAAATATAATTTATTACAGATGAAAAAGTTATTAATAAGTAATATTGATAACTGAAAGTTCCATAGAGGGCAATATTCAAGATAAGTTAATCATCAAAGAAATAAGACTTTTTACATTTAAGAGATCAGGAAATCAAATAGAAAGTAACTTAACACACATATTTTAGGGTTTCTCAATCTTAACACTGTTATTTTAGGCAAATAATTCTCTATTGTCTTTTTTTGTGGTGAACTGTCCTGTGTATTGTAGGACGTTCAGCAGCATCCTTGAAAATTACACACAAGATACTATTAATACTCCTTTTACTGTGACAACCAAAAATGTCTCCAGGCATTGTCAAATGTCACCTTTGCAGGGCAAGCTCCCCTGGTTGAGAATCTCTCAAAAATTCCACTAGTGTTACCACTGTGGAAGAAACTTCTTTATGGAAACATTTATCTATAAATATAACTGTTCTGCTTTACTGCTCAGTTTGCTTTAAAACCGACTATTTGGTTGTACATGCAGAAATTATTTGAGTCTGTTTTCTGTTTGGATAGAACTTTTATGATCAGTATATTGGATTGACTGACTAGTATTTGCGTAATTACCACTTAAAATGATCTTATATGAAACCATTTTTTTTTTATTTTAGGTATGATTTTCCTGTTAGAACATTACATGTGAAAGAAGTCATACTTGAGTTTGAAAGTTATACTTTTTAAAAGTTTACTTGTCCCTCTTGCAGAAAAAGATACTTTTGACAACTGTAATAACTGGACATTACTAGAACAATGCTAACACAGGGGGTTAACAGCTTGCACTTGTACAAAATACTTGAAGTCAGTCAGAAAGCCATTATTATGACCTTGTGCTGACCACATTCTATGAAGTGTTACATGATCAGGGACAGGGAAGTTGGTTAATGGAATTTATATAGTAGCTAGATGTATCCTTGTCACACTTCATCTAAACTGATACATTGCAATGGTCCACACTGCTCAGACCTGGCAATTACTGTCCAATTCCAATCTATTCCACACTGCCACTATAATGAAAAATAATTAGGAGCCTGAAAATGAGTTTTCACATGAAATGGTTTCAGTGCTTGGACACAATCGCCTTTGGCAGATGGCTTTGGGTTTGCTTTAATATAATAAAGACAGTTAATCATCTCTAAAGAGTGCACTGAATGAATAAACTTTTAACACTATTTTCTACAATGGAATTCTTATATTGATCAAATGTTTAATGCTCAGGGGTGGAAGTTGCTTTGGCTGAATTGTTTGGTATGAGCGCATAAATCACTGCTAAATAAATGCATTAGAAAAGAAGAAAATTGGTTCAAATTGATTATCTATTATTGATGGAGGAAAATTAAAAAGCTTAACACTAAAAGCAAGTACTTTTCCTAAACACTGTATCTAAAATAGCTAAAGATATTTTTAGAAGTATTTATGAAGACCCTGATTTTGGTAAGACTGAAATAAGTCATTTCATCACAACAAAAAATATATCTATGTGTGTGTATGCCTACCTACTTGTGTATATATAACATTTTTAGTGTATGTATTTCCCATGAAGGGAAATTAACCCCTCTATTAGAAAGGAAACTCAAATTTTAACTAGCAATATAGCATTTAGTAAATTTTTCTGAGAACAAACATTTCTCTATTGGAAAAAAACTTTCACTTCTATACATAGAAAAATACCAATGCTTTAGAATTAAATTGATTTATTAATTATGTTCTTATATGATTTGTCAATATTGAATTTCATTCTGATGAACTTATATTCAAGAAATAGAGCTATATTCTAGATGTATTGTTCATAAATAATATCTGTCATTGTGAGAGACTTAGTGGTTTTATTAGAGACTCTTTTATAAACTGATAGCATTTAAGGGTACTCAGGTAGAGTAAGTTTTCTTCTTTAAATAATTCAATTTTATAAAATAGCAATGAAATCCTAATAGTTTCCAAAACAAACTAATAATTTGGGTATTTATGTTTGGCAGCACCACTGATAACACAATATGTGAACAAATATTCTCTTAACTTTACAGATATGCTTAGATCAAATCTCTTTATTGTTCTTTCTGGTTATGTAAATATACTGTCATAATTTTTTTTTCAATATTAACTATCTTTCACTGGAGAGTACTTAACATTTTCTGAAATATCCATACTTTTTTTAAAAAATGGCAAAGTTAACCTAAAATAAAATTATTGTTTCCATCTACTCATTTAAAATGCTCTATTTAGAATCAGTCCTTATAAATTTTGAAACATGTTTGTAAGTGCATCTGTAAATAGTATTATGTAGTTAGATACTCCATTGTTTATATACTATTGGCTGCTAAGTCATATTTCTATTTAAATATTTGACTGCTAGTTAATGCTCCCCTAATTTTCCAAGAAACAACATATTTTGCTACTCTGGATACAGGGTTGTTGGTTTAAGTGTTGATGTGCATACATCCAAACGAGCTGTATTAGTTCATTTTCACACTGCTGATAAAGACTTACCCAAGACTGGGTAATTTATACAGGAAAAGGGGGCTTATTGGACTTACAGTTCCTCCTGACTGGGGAAGCCTCACAATCATGGTGGGAAGCAAGGAGGGAGCAAGTCACATCTTACATGGATGGCAGCAGGCCAAGAGAGAGCTTGTGCAGAGAAACTCTCGCTTTTAAAGCCATCAGATCTCATGAGACCCATTCACTATTACTAGAGCAGCATGGGAAAAACCTGCCCCCATGATTCAATCATCTCCCACCGTGTCCCCCTCACAACATGTAGGAATCCTGGGAGCTACAAAATGAGATTTGGATGAAGACACAGAGCCAAACCATATTACCAGCCCAGGATTCATTTCTGCATTTCAAGTACTATGACTTGTTACTTAGATAAACAATTAAAATACTAGCTTGAGAAATACTGTTTGTTATAATTAAAATTGTTTTCCTTTGAGCCCTAACATGAAATTATACCCACTTAAGTATCAATGAGCAATATATTGACAGTCTCTTACTTTCATGGAAAGGAGATCACAATGTAAAATATTTTTAAAATTTTGTCGCTTTTTAATAATTGAAGCAATATGGCATGAACCAGTTCTATTCAGTGCAGTCAGAGGGCAAAGAGTTGCCTTTGTCCATAGTTCCTAGCTAAGTCACTTTAGGCTGCGGCTTTGGAGTTTCATCCTGATTCTTTGTGTCTCTACTGAACTAATATGAAAAGTTTACCTTTTTGGAGAATAATCAGGATAGTGTTTTCTATACCTGGCAACTCTACTCACCTGTTCCTGCAAGATTGCAATTTGAAGTCAAGATATACCCTCACCTGGAGGAGGAGTTTAAACAATAAATGACAATTAATATCAAAGTAAATTATATTAGAATATGACGAAAAACTGCTGGAAACTCTGTTTACAATTTCAGCTACGAAAGAAGAGAAAATTTTAATTTTCACATATAATATAATGACATTCTAATTAAAATGTCCATGGACAAATGAACAGAATTAATGAATGACATGTATGAGGAATGGCATAACTTTCAAATTAAGTAGGCATGCTTGAAAATCTAAGATGCACTATTCAGTTGCTGTGTGACCATGAACAACATGTAGGAAAAAATTACAACATTCCATTGAGTTTTCTGGAAATGTCAAATGCTATAATATATGTGCATAGAAAATAGAAGAGGTTCTATGGCATAGTAAATCTAAGCACATTCTGGTGGTTATTATTACTAACATACTAATTATCCTGTACTTTGGAAACATTCTCTCTGTGGCTATGTACTTCCTGGAACTTGATAGAGAAAATAAGGCTCATCTAATAATTTGTGCATTATGTTGACAAAAAAAGAAAACTGCTGTTATTTATCTCCGAATGTGCTAATATGCAAATATCAAGTTAGGGTCAACTGACTGTGACTGCATGGGGAGGTAGCATAAGGTTTAAATCAGAGGTTTGTACTGATAAAACAACCTAGATGAAAAAGAAGACAGATACCAACTTTATTTCTGTAGAATAAATTCAACTAATGAAAATAACATAACACATTATATAAATTAGATTGTTAATTTCAAATTTCAAATATAAAATTGGAATATATTGGTGGAATGATAAAAAAGAAATAATTACTTAAACTTTTTGTTCACTTTTAAATCACTTTAGTTTTAGTCTTTTTTTTTTTAGTTAAAATATTTGTGGACTTTAGGTTTGGAATTTTGTGAACTCAGAATTAATGATTATGTGTCTATAAGGGTCAACTCCAGGCAAGAGCCAAAGTAATTTTTTGGTTTATATCAATTCTTTTTTTCTGTTTTACTCAGGGCTACAAAAAAAATTAAAAATTCAGCCATAAACAAGTTATAGAGTAGTTCTTTTTTAGCAAAGGATTTTCCCATTAGGTAATTTAAATATTAGAGCTTCTATTCTGGTCAAATATAATGCAGATATGTATTAGTTACTGTTAATTTTCATACATTGCACAAAATATATAAATTTTATACATTTATGCATTGAACTATAATGTATTGCAACATCGAATTGGCAAATAAAACACTATTTCATCTAAATTATGTCTTTGTAGCGAAGGATGGGGAAATGTAGAAAATGCATCTACATGCTACCTATAAACTTCTGCACTCATTTTTAACTTGAGTGCTTTTGTGGTCTAAAGTAACAGATTAAAGTTTTTGCCAGCATTTTTGGAGCCAGCATCTAATATATTTTATCGCTATTCATAGATAGTAATAAACAAAGTGAGTTATTGTATTAAAAAATTAGTTATATTACATTCTTATTGTTTATTCTTTTAATATTTCTGTCACAGTTGTTTATTTCATATTTACATCTATGTCTTTATGAAACTTTTAATAACATATTCCAGTTAATAAGCTGTGAAATTTGATATAATTTATCAAAATATCTATCTAGTTTGAACATCATTAATCTGTCCTAAATTTAAGAACTTTCTAAATCTTATCTCTATGGTAGTCCAACATGCAGCTCTTTTTATCTTGATATTTTGCCATTTATCATTATCTTATGTTTATACATGTTTAGCCAGCTCACTACCCATGTGACAGTTCTCAGATCCAGGTCAATTTTAATTCATTCTGTATGTCAATATTCATGAGATGTAGCATTGAATGTGTTTCTTTACTCTAGCCAGAATATTTGTGTTTTGGTCTTCTAAACAAACTAAATTTGTGTTGTAAAAGATGCTATTCTCAAAAGCAAATAGAACTATAAAAATATGATTTTGCCCTCATAATAAACCCTTTTTAATATGTTTTATACTATAATGTAAATGTTACTCTAAGTGCATTCTAACTGTTCAGAAATTTTTAAAATAACAAATCCAGTTATATTTCTTTGTAATTTTTTCTGAATTTTTAGCTATGACCAGATAATGATTCAAAAAACATATGATATGGTTTGGCTGTGTCTCCACCCAAGTCTTATCTTGAATTGTAATTCCCACAATTCCCGCTTGTTGTGGGAAGAATCCAGTGGGAGGTGATTGAATTATTGGTGGAAGCTTTCCTGCAATGTTCTCATGATAGTGAATGAGTCTCACGAGATGTTATGGTTTTAAAAATGGAAGTTTCCCTGAACAAGCTGTCTTCTCTTTACCTGCCACCATCCACGTAAGATGTAACTTGCTCCTCCTTTCCTTCTGTCACAATTGTGAGGCTTCCATAGCCACATGGAACTGTGAGTTCTCCATTAAACCTCTTTCCTATGTAAATTGTCCAGTCTCCAGTATGTCTTTATCAGCAGCATAAAAACAGACTAATACATGATAACATTTTCTTTTACAGACTGATGCAACATGAAAGTTTGAAACAGCAAAATATATTTAATAATAAACCTTTAATGTTTTCAAGAGATATTTATGTAAAGGGAATCAGGGGAAACATGGCTGGGCAGTTAGTAGGGTCTATCTTCAGAATGGTCTTGCTTTAAATCTTAAGGCACTTTAGACTGTTGAAAATACATTATAGAATAGGAAGAAATGATAAGCACTATAATCTAGAAAGTTCACTTTGTTAGCATGACAGGGGACACATTTAAAGGGAGAAGAAACAAAGCAGATATTTTGATAAATTGCTATTTTAATATGCCAGGCAAGGATTATGAATAAAAACCAAAACAAATTCAAGGTGAATTAAATATTCAAAACCAAATAAGTTAAACTAAAAATAATTAGAAAAAACATAGAAAAATATTCAAACTATATTTAGAACTAAATACTTTCTAAGTATACACATATTTAAAGAGTTCTTAAAAGAAATATAGATACATTTTGCAAAAACAAACGTATACCTGTATTCATGTGAAGACTTTTAAACTAAGGTAATATCAACACTGATAAAACAAAAAAAAAGATTTGAAAGTGTAATTGTGTAAATACAACATACAAATTGATTAAAATATTGCCAAGAACTTCTTAAGGAATACTGGCAAAAGTCACTAAGAGTAATTCCAAAGAAAGGGAAACGTAACTTTCTAATATACAGAAAGTTTATCTGCATTACTGATCAAAGTTATGCAAATAAGTTCAAAATAACACCCTGCTTCTAAAACTAGTGCAAAAGTTGCTGTCATCAATTTGCTTAAGGCAAATGATGAGCTCTTCCGATCTTCATCAATTTGTCAATCTTCCAAAACTTTAAAGTACTTACATATATTTTGTCATTTATTCAACAAATACTTACTGGATGCCTACTGCATCCTAGGGACTGACCCATGCGTTGACGATATAATGAATGGTAAAGGAGGTAATCATTACCCCCATTATTAGGAAGTATACAATTTTGCCTATATGGATTATTTAACAGGGAAACTTTTCTTTCTAGATAATAAAATTCAGTTAATTTACTTTAAGTCTGAGTCTATTGATAAAGTCGTATATTATCTGGGTCAATAGTTCACTTGAGGAACAGAGAGAGTTAATCTATAGTATCTTCTCGTCTGACAATCCCCGTGTTTTCCAAAACCTTGTGCAGAAAGCTCTTAATGGACATCATAAAATGTTTGGAGATTTGATAAGTTTTCTGAGGACTTTAGTATTGCATTAATGAAAGTTAATTCAGTTCTAATCTGTGATTCTTGGTGGTTAGAACAGGGATTTAATACCAGCGTTAAGAGTCAATATTAGTAGTAACGGTCAAATAACACCATCACAGGAATAGTTTTGGAGACTTTATTTTTTTTTCAACCCAAATTTTGTATTAAAATGTAACTTTAATAAAACTAACACATGCTACTATGTTTCTGGGACTAGTAACAGACACACTGTAGACATTAGGGACAAAGCTCCTCCCCTCATGGGCTGCCTAATGGCTTGGCCTGGTTTCATGCTGCTTTTAGTAAATGTGGGGCTCTCCAGCCTGACTTGAAAAGTAAAGAATATAAAAGTTTCTGTTTATGCTGCCTATATGGCTTTATTATCAGGCCAAAGGCATAAAGGGAAGCCTCATCTCTTCTAATTAGAGTCAAGCCTAGATTATGAAAGAGCTGCAGAATTTTTTCAGGGGTGGAGGTGGGGCACTTATTGAATTTCTTTTACTGAATTGAATTCTATCATAATGGATCCAGATCAACTACTCTTAATCCAAAATTATGTTTAGCGGAAGCTATTCAACTGATCCAATCATTCAGTTTCTGAGGAGAACAACTGTATAGAATTTAATAAAAACCATATTGATTAAATGGAAAAATACAATGAATGCTAAACAGATTTTTCTGACTATAGTTAACATAATTTCATGATTTTCAGACTATAATTATTACGGATTTTCTAATGACACACAAATTCACAGCTTTTTTTTCTTCCCTATGCTGGTGAGCTACTGTGAATTTAGAACAGATTTGCCAGTAGTTTTGTTCTTCATACATGTACTAACTTGGTCTGCTTCTTTCTTCCGAGTAGTCACCCTATCAAGTGCATTGGATGGTTAAGTTTGTACTATGCTTTTTAAAAGAAAGTTTTAACTCTTCTTCCATTTCGCACAGACTATATTGCTCTTTTTTGCAATCAGAATTCACTGCTGTTCAATCTCCATAGAAAGCCTGGTTAGGAAACTGTTATTGATGGAGAACTATTTGAGTGCATACTCCAGTCTAGTATTTCTTCTGGGTGATAACAGAGATAGACAGCTGCAGACTTACTGTTCTTTGTTCATGTCCCATGTAGAATCAATTTTACTATATTGATGGAACTTCTAAGAAGCAAACCCTGCAATTCACTATTTTGTTTACTTTAAAAATATTTTACTGGGATATCAGGCACCAGACAACCATGTCCTCCATTTGGAGATTAGAAAAATGATTCCAGTTAGAGCCTACTACCTGAAAAATCTACACAATTACTCAGCATTTATTTTCTTCATTTCAACCTTATGAAAAGCATGAATGTTTATATTCTTGTGATTATCACTTCTCCTCTACAGTAAGTCTTATAATCAAACTCCCCACTTAACACTAACAACCATACAGAAACATACTACTAGGTTAATTATGTACAGAGGTCACATTCATAGTGTTGAATCCAATGATTGCATTTCTAGGAAGCTATACTAAAGAAATTATCAGAAATTTGGACAAATCTCTGTGACAATTGTTCAACATAAAATTATTCATGATCAAAACCTAGAACAAGCTTGATTATATAGAAGAAATAGTTTAAAATTTGTGATGCATCTCTAAGAGAGGCTATAACCCAGCTATTAAGTAATACTTAATCATTTCAATGACATGGAAAATATTAGGCCAAAAATACAGGGTTCAGAACTTTATTATCCAAAATCTAAACTACTTAAAATCAAATGGGGATAATGGGCAAGATGGCTGATTACAAACAGCTGTGGTCTGTAGCACTCGTGGAGAGGAATGAAGGAACAAGTGAAAACAGCACCTTCAACTAAAATATCCAGGTACTCACAATGGGACTAATAAGGGAAACAACTCGACCCACACAGAATAAAGAAAAGCAAGGTGGGCATCAGCACACCTGGAAGCGACATGAAGCCAAGGGAACCCCCACCCCAGCTAAGGAAAGCAGTGAGTGATTGTGCAGCCCTGGCAAGCCATGCTTCCCCCACGGATCTTTGCAACCCTGGGTCAGGAGATACCCTCATGAGCCCACATCACTAGGGCCTTGGTCCAACACAGAGTTGTGTAGAATCTTGGCAGAGCAGCTGCTCAGGCATGCACAGAGACCCAGGAGTTTTACATACTCCAGCCCCAATATCCCTGGCAAGGTGGGAGGTTCCTACTCTCCTCTATGAAGGGGGATAAGTCCAGGGGGCCCAAGCAACACAGTTCTGCAGGCCCCACTTTCATGGCACCTCACAAGATAAGACCCACTGGCTTGGAATTCCAGCCAGCCACTGACAACAGGGTGGAGCCTGCCTGAGACAGAGCCCCTGGGGACAGGGGCAGGCCACCCTCTCTGCTGTATGGTCAACTCAGCCATTTCTACCTGTGGGCTTTGGACAGTGCAAACAGTCCAGAGGAGGAAGGGTTCTACCACTGCAGCACAGCTGCTTTGCCAGAATGTGGCCAGATTGTTTCTTAAAGCAGGATCCCAATCCATTCCTCTTCAATGGGGGGGACCTCCCAGCTGGGACTGCCAGCCATTCCTGACCATATGCTGCAAACAGAGCTCTGATCTCTCCCTGGAATGTAGTCCTGGGGGGAAGGGGATGTACCACCTCTTTGATCCTTTGGATGACTCAGCCATTCCAGTCTGCAGGCTTTGGAGAGTCCAAGCCAATAGAGGCAGAGGCAGTTACCCAGCACGACTCAGCTGTTTTGTCCAAGTGTGGCCAGACTGCTTTAAGAGGGATCTAGATTCATTCCTCCTCACTCAGTGTGTCTTCCCAGCGGCAGGCTTCTAGCCAGCCCAGCTTATGTTCTATGGCTGCCAGAGTTCTAATTTTTCCCTGTGTTGGAGTGCCCAGGGGGCAGCACAGGCTACAACCCTGGCTGTTCGGGCACCTCAGATGATCCAGCCTGTGAGCCTTAGACAGCTCCCCGAAATTGGAGGTTGAACCCAACACAGCACAGCTGCTCTACCAAAACTGCTCGACTGCTTCTTTAAGGAAGTCCCTGATCCCATTCCCCCTGACTGGGTGAGATCTCCTAATTGGGGTCTCCAGCCACCTCCTACAGGCATGTTCAGGCTGGCAACAGGTCAGTACCTCCCTGGAACAAAGCTTCCAGAGGAAGGGGCAGGCTGCCATCTTTGCTGTTCACAGCTTGTACTAGTGATAGCTCCAGGTACTGGAGATGACTAGGGTCCAAAACAGACACCCCAGCCAATCACAGCAGCACTACAGAAAAGTGGCCAGACTGCTAAAAGAGAAACAAACAAATAGAAAACAGCAACAACAACAAAAACCCATTCAGGGTCAGCAACCTCAAAGATCAAAGGTAGATAAGCATACAAAGATGGCAAAGAATCAATGCAAACATGCTGATAACTCAACAAGCCAGAGTGTGCCTTTTCCTGCAAATGACTGCAACACATCTTAAGCAAGGGCTCAGAAGTGGGCTGAGGCTGATGTGGCTGAAAAATTAGAAGTAGGCTTCAGAATGCAGACAAAAACAAACTTTTCTGTGCTAATGGAACATATTTCCCCAATGCAAAGAAGCTAGGAATCATGATAAAGCAATGCAAGAGATGACAGTCAAAATAATCAGTATACAGAGGAACATAACTTACTTGATATAGCTGAGAAACACACTACAAAAACTTCGCAATGCAATCACAAGTATTAATAGCAAAATCGACCAAGTGGAGGACAGAATCTCAGAGCTTGAAGACTATCTTTCTGAAATAAGACAGGCAGACAAGAAAAGAGAAAAAAGAATAAAGGGAATGAACGAAAACTCCGAGAAATATAGGACTATGTAAAGAGACCAAATCTACAACTAATTAGGGTACCTGAAAAAGACAGGGAGAATGAAACCAATTTGGAAAACATACTTCAGGATATCATCTAGAACTTTCCCAACCTAGCAAGACAGGCCAACATTTAAATTCAGGAAATGCAGAGAACCCCAGTGAACTCCATGAAAAGATCATCTCCCAAGACTGGTAATAATCAGATTCTCTAAGGTCAAAATGAAAGAAAAAAATTGAAGAGTAGTCAGAGAGAAAGTCCATGTCACCTTCAAAGGAAAGTTCATCAGATATAGTGGACCTCTCAGCAGAAACCCTACAAGCCAGAAGAGATTCGAGGTCAACATTCAGCATTCTTAAAGAAAAATATTTGCAACTGAGAATTTCATATCCAGCAAAACTAAGCTTTGTAAGCAAAAGAGAAATAGGACCCTTTTCAGACAAGGAAATGCTGAGGGAATTCATTACCATCAGACCTACCTTGCAAAGGCTCCTGAAGGAAGCATATTAAATATGGAAAGGAAAATCCATTACCAGCCACTACAAAAACACACTGAAGTACACAGATCAGTGACACTATGCAGCAACCACAAAAGCAATTCTGCAAACTAACCAGCTGGCATCATGATGACAGGACCAAAAAGACACATAACAATACTAACCTTAAATGTAAATGGGCTAAATGCCCCTGCCCCAATTAAAAGACACAGAATGGTAGCTGGATCAAGAACCAAGACCCACTGGAATACTGTCTTCAAGAGACCCATCTCATATGCAAAGACACACACAGGCTCAAAATGAAAAGATAGAGAAAAATTTACCAAGCAAATAGAAAGCAGAAAGAAGCAGAGGTTGAAATCCTAATTTCTGACAAAACAGACTTTAAGCCAACAAAGATGATAAAAGACAAAGAAGGGCATTATATAATGGTAAAGGGTTTAATTCAACAAGAAAAGCTAACTATCTTAAATATATGCAACTAATACAGGAATACCCAGATTCATACAGAAAGTTCTTAGAGACCTTCAAAGAGACTTAGATTCCCAAACAATAATAGTGGGAGACTTTAACACCCCACAGACAATGATAAATGGTTCATCAAGGCAGAAAATCAACAAAGATTTTCAGGACCTGAACTCAGCTCTGGATCAAATGGATCTGATAGATATCTACAGAACTCTCCACCCCAAAATAACAGTATATACATTCTTCTTGTCACCACATAATGCTTACTGTAAAATTGATAACATAATCATAACTAAAATACTCCTCATCAAATGCAAAAGAACTGAAATAATAAAAGCAATCTCTCAGAACACAGTGCAATCAAATTAGAACTCAATATTAAGGAATTTACTCAAAACTGTATAAATACATGGAAATTGAACAACGTGTTCCTGAATGACTTATGGGTAAATAATGAAATTAAGGCAGAAATCATGAAGTTATTTGAAACTAAGGAGAACAAAGATAGAATAAACCAGAATCTCTGGGACACAGCTAAAGCACTGTTAACAGGAAAATTTATAGCACTAAATGCCCACATCAAAAAGCTAGAAAGAGCTCAAGTTAACAACCTAACATCATAACTAAAAGAACTAGAGAAGCAAGAGCAACAAACCCCAAAACTAGCAGAAGACAAGAAATAAACAAGATAAGAGCTGAACTGAAGGAGATAGAGATATGAAAAACCCTTCAAACAATCAATTAATCCAGGAGAAGTTTTTTTGAAAAAAATAAAATAAAATAAAATAGATCGCTAGCTAGACTAATAAAGAAGAAAAGAGAGATTGGTTTTGAAATTTCCAAATTGGTTGTGTTCAAATAACCACAATCAGAAATGATAAGGGGGATATCACCACTGACTCCATAGAAATACAAACAACCATCAGAGAATACTATAAACACCCCTATGCACATATAAACCAGAAAATCTAGAAAAAATGGACAAATTCCTGGACACATACAGCCTCACAACACTGAACCAGAAAAAAAAGACTACCTACCAAAACTACCTACCAAAAAAGCCCGGGACCAGATGGATTCACAGCTGAATTCTACCAGAGGTGCAAACAAGAGCTGGTATCATTCCTACTGAAATTATTCCAAAAAATAAAAAAAAAGAGACTCTTGTTTAACTCATTTTATGAGATCAGCATCATTCTGATACCAAAGCCTGGCAGAAATACAACAACAAAAAGGAAAACTTCAAGCCAATATCCTTCATGAATATAAATGCAATATTGTGAAAATGACTATACTGCCCAAAGCAATTTATAGATTCAGTGCTATTAAACTACCACTGACATTCTTCACAGACTAGAAAAACTTATTTTAAAATTCATGTGGAATCAAAAAAGAGCCCAAATATCCAAGGCAATCCTAAGTAAAAAAACAAAGATGAGCAGGGTGTGGTGGCTCATGCCTGTAATCCCAGCACTTTGGGAGGCCAAGGTGGGTGGATCATGATGTCAGGAGATTGAGACCATCCTGGCTAACACAGTGAAACCCCGTCTCTACTAAAAATACAAAAAAAATTAGCTGGGTGTGGTGGCGGGTGCCTGTAGTCCCAGCTACTTGGGAGACTGAGGCAGGAGAATGGTGTGAACCCTGGAGGTGGAGGTTGCAGTGAGCTGAGATCCTCCCATTGCACTCCAGCCTGAGTGACAGAGCAAGACTCTGTCTCAAAAAAAAAAAAAAAAAAAAAAAAACTGTAGGAATCATGCTACCTGACTTCCAAGTATACTACAAGGCTACGGTAACCAAAACAGCATGGTACTGGTACAAAAACAAACACATACGCAGCATGGTGGATCATGCCTGTAATTCCAACACTTTGGGAGACTGAGGTGTGTAGATCACTTGAGGTCAGGAGTTTGGGACCAGCATGAGCAAGATGGTGAAACCCAGTCTCTAGTAAAAATACACAAATTAGCTGGGTGTTGTGGTGTGTGCCTCTAGTCTCAGATACTCTGGAGGCTAAGGCACAAGAATTGCTTGAACCTGAAAGGCAGAGGTTTCGGTGAGCCAAGATTGCACCACTGCACTCCATCACTCTGGGTGACACAGCGATACTCTGTCTCAAAAAGAACAGACACATAGATCATGGAAGAGAATAGAGAATCCAGAAAGAAATAAGACTGAACACCTACAACCATCTGATCTTTGACAAACCTGACAAAAACAAGCAATGGGGAGAAAATTCCCTATTTAATAAATGTTGTTGGGAAAACTGGCTAGTCATATGCAGAAAATTGAAACTGGACTCCTTCCTTACACCATAAACAAAAAAATAACTCAAGATGGATTAAAGACTTAAATGTAAAACCCAAAACTATAAAAATTCTGGACGCCAATCTCGGAAATACCATTCTAGACATAGGACCTGACATGGATTTCACGACAAAGAAGCCAAAAGCAATTGCAACAAAAGCAAAAATTGACAAATGGGATTTAATTAAACTAAAAAGCTTCTGCACAGCAAAAGAAACTATCAACAGAATAAACAGAAAATCTATAGAATGAAAGAAAATTTTTGTAATCTATCCATCTGACAAAGGTCTAATATTCAGCATTTATAAGGAACTTCAGCAAATTTACAAGAAAAGAACAAAAAAACCCATTAAAAAGTGGTCAAAGGACACGGACAGATGCTTTTCAAAAGAAAACATACATGTAGCTAACAAACATGAAAAAAAGCTCAACATCACTGATCATTAGATCATCACTGATCAAAACCACAATGAAATACCATCTCATACCAGTCAGAATGGCTATCACTAAACAGTAAAAAAAAAAAAAAAAAAAAAACTAAACAAAAAAACTACAGATGCTGGTGAGGCACTGGAACAAAAGGAATGCTTTTACACTGTTGATGGGAGTGTAAATTAGTTCAACCACTGTAGAAGACAGTGTGACACTTCCTCAAAGACCTAGAGGCAGAAATACTACCATTCAACCCAGCAATCTCATTACTGGGTATATACCCAAAGGAATATAAATTGTTTTATTATAAAAATACATGCACAAGTATGTTCACTATAGCACTCTTCACAATAGCAAATACATGGAATTAACCTAAATGCTCATCAATGGTAAACTGAATAAAGAAAATATGGTATATATAAACCATAGAATAACAGGCAGCTATACTTACATGTCCTTTGCAGGGACATGGATGGAGCTGGAGGCCACTATCCTTAGCAAACTAACACAGGAACAGGAAACCAAATACCACATGTTCTCATTTATAAGTGGGAGCTGAATGATGAGAACACATGGACACATAGTAAGTAACAACACAACACTGGGGCTTGTTACAGGTTTGGGGGTGGAAGGACAGAGAGCATCAGGCAGAATAGCTAATGGATGCTGGGCTTAATACCTAGGTGATGGGATGATCTGTGCAGCAAACCACCACGGCATGTGTTTATGTATGTAACAAACCTACATATCTTGCACATGTACCCCTGAACTTAAAAGTTGGAAATTTAAAAATAATAAAAATATATATAAAGTGTGTATGTGTAACAAACAGTATTTATCTCTTAGTAGTGAGAATGCCACAGATTTTTATTTTTATCCCTGTGAATTTCTGTATGGTCCAAGTTTTCCTAATGAGTATGTACTAATTTTGTAATAATTTATTAAAGAATATAATTTACTTTTCACAAAAGAATGGAGGACCGTACTCAGTACAATGAAAAAGGAGAAAAATATATGAAACTGGTCTCTGTAAAGAAAAATAGATCGGGAACGACTTGGGGGTGGAGGCAGGCAGGGGAATGCAGGGTAGGAAGAGAACTGGGTGGCAGGAGGGGGATGATGTGTAGAAGAATGGAGTTTTACTAGTAAAAATAATAAATCGGGAGAAAAGTAGAGAACGGGTGAAAGAATGAAAACTAACTTTTGGACCTGACAAGTTTGAGGTGATACTGAGACAACCATGTGCAGTTACATATTCATATAAGATCTAAAGCTTGGGAGTTTTTGGAATATTTGGTGGACATTTTGGTCCATTTTTGAAAATCCCAGTTTTTAGCAATTAATGAAAGTCAATATGTAAGTTGCAAAGTTGGATGTGATACTGTTATAAGAAACATGCTTTTTATTTCATAGTATATATATAAGGAAATAGATTATAGCATGAGTTTTAGGTAAGAAAATTGATAAGTAAGAATGTTTGCATTACAGTTGGGCAAACACACTCCTTCGATCTCGGCTCCTAATAAATAATGCAGAGACTACTTGGCTTTTCTAAGAACATTCATCAAGAGTTAATGCCTTCTCCATTACTAGTTTTTCTTACTTTTCCAGGGTCTCTACCGAGAGGGTAGATACTTTCTCTTCACAATTGAGCTGTGCTTTTTTCTCTTTAGGAACCTACCTACCAGAATTAGCATTCAATCCTGGGCTTTTCATTGTTCATGAATACACCTACTCCCAAAGATGGGAAAGCTTTAAGAGATTACAATGGTTTATTTCTCAAGCAAATAATAGTGAGTGGCTCCTTCCTTGGGAAATGTTGAAGTGGTTTACTTGAAAATTCTAGCTAAGCTTTCTTTTCCCCTGACAATAAAAAAATCATGTATGTATCCATAACTTATAATTCATATAAAGTTAAAACACACCTTAATTGTGTGCACATTGCTCAAGATTTTCAAGCATATTAGGACAAACAGAAGGTGGATAATAACTTTTTTCAGTGGGTACAAGAATGAATATTGAAAATAACTATTTTTCTTTCAATCAGTGCATTGTATTTTGTAGGACATAATAATAATATACAGTGGAGTCATGTTTCTCTGCTCGTCACTTCACATATAGAATCCCAACATAACACCACCCAGCAAGCAATGTTATGTTTGTTTAGGCAGCAATATAATATGTTTCTTGAAGTTTAAAAGGCAACATATTTTGCATTTGTACATTCAATTTTAAATCAAAAATAAAGTTTGAGTGGGAAAAGATTGAATATCAGATCTTGATTATTTTTTGTCACTGGGCCAAAGCTTGGAAATCATCTCAAGTGGGCCTTTATTTCTACCTGCAGCCTCCAAGTATAATTGAATTGCTTGTTTAGGAGCTCTCACACCATTCAGTAAGGGGACGAAGGCAACAACTGACATTATAACCTACCAGGTATGCACAACTTCTCAGTGAATGTAGTAAATTAATGTATAAATAACAGTCAAAATTCAGACATTAGGTCAGAGTTTTATGCATATAAATGTTATATGAAGAAAAAGCGATGTTTTTTATATTTTTTGATAAGTGAAACATATTGAATAACACTTTAGTTTTAGAAAAAAATCTTAAAATTAGCATCTTTATTAGACTATATTTGTAAGTACTATTTTCTTGATTCTTTGTTTAATTAAGAATAGTTATAAAACAAACTTTTATGGTTAATTTTTAAATGTATACAAAGATTTCAATAAAAATACATAAAAAGATTTTTATACAAATGTCTATGTATTTTTGCTTTAATACCCGGTAAAGAATACATATTGCTAATGAACACATTTTATAATGCTGTATATAATTCACAATAATCAGTAGTTGTTTATGATAATAAAGTGAGAATGTATTTTTCGAGGGAACGAGGAATAAACAAAATGTGAGATCAAATACACATTCTTAAATTTCATGGAACACCATTATCTGATTTCTATTGGTGTAGTGTAAAGTACACCTTCTCCTATCCATTTGCTCTCTTACCCACAGTATATATAGTTTACAAATGTTTCAAGACAAGATTGATTGACAATTCACAAATTTTAATAGGTCTACATCCAAATTGGTGCAATAAGAAAAGAACTATGTGCATGGCTCAGGATTCACATTGACAGCATTGTGTAGTTACATATCTTCAGACAAGTGAATAGCATTGTTGGTGACTCTGTGTGTGTGTGTGTGTGTGTGTGTGTGTGTGGTGTGTGGTAAAGCCCACTAGCGTGAAGCAGGACTTTCCTTTCATTGTGTCAGTTCTATTGGATTTTTATCTGTCATCTTAAAAGGCATAACGATCCTTATTTTAAGCCTGTCATTTGGCTTATTATAATTTCTGCAGTGGGTCTATCATTCCCATTGTTGGAAAAATATACAATTCTTTATTTGAAAACAATTTTACAAAGTTTTCACAGTTAAGTGTAAAACTATTATAAATTGAAAAGGCTCCTGGAACACGAATCAATGATACACAGATTAAACATCAGGACAGAGGTGGTTACAGAACATGAATGTTGCCCCAATTGTTTCAGTACTTATGGCAACAGACTTTTCATGTTCTGAGCTGTCAAACCTAATGTAGAGGCAGGTATGTCAGTAGGAATTCCAATGTCTGAAATCTATTCCTAAGCTATTTGGCTTTCTTAAAAAACATTCTAAAAAAAAACCTAGTAACTTTTGGAGAGCACATGGAACTAAGAATAATGCAGGTCTGGTCTCCGAATTAGTTGTTAGAGTTGACGAAGTGTTAACTATGTAGCCTTACGAATTGCTCCATGGTACGAGGTACAAGAAATATTTTTTTGTTTCAAGTTTTTCAAAATCAAATTAAATCTGTCTCTGAGTTTCCACTTGAGAGAGTTCGTGCGGAATCTGATATCAGTTCTGATTGCTCTCACTTTTCTTCCCCTGCCACCCCTGCGTGCCTCCAGACCACCTTGGCTATTCCCAGTGGTCTGTGTGCCTCCCATTCCTCCTTCTGCTAAACAGAGCAGCTGTCCCTGGTGTCATTCACCGTGTTCTGAGCACTGCTGCCTCAGAGAGCATTGCTGCTGCCTTTATTCCATCCTGAGCAATTTCCTCTGATGTCCTGCTTCCCCTGAAATGAGTCTGCTTGGGAGCGGGATTCTGTCCTCTGCCACTTGCAAATCCCTCAAATCCAGACAAATGTCTACTGTACAGAAGGCCAAAGATTTGACAACTCAAGGAAAAAAAAAAATTCCAACCGCCCTTCCTGTAAGGGCAGGAGTGGGAGGGGATTATGTTTTCATCATTATTTTTTGAGTCTACAGCAGAAAAAAAAAGACAATATACCAATTAATTCACCACTGATTCTTTTTGGCACAAAAATCACGTGACTCTTCTATTTTCATCTTGCTTTTTTTCTCACTTCCCCTATGGAGCTGCGACTTTAGTTAAGGAAGAATGCTTCTCTTTCCTTCTTTGGTTGCTGTACAGTTTCCACATTTCTTCTACATATTTTGATCCCTCTGGTCCCTTAAATCTCTGTGACTTGCAGACAGACACTGCTTCCACAGCTCATATAAGAAGGTTTGATTTAGATAAAAATCTGAAAAAAGAATAACTATGCCGAACCTAACATCAAACTGGCTTCTTACTCCTCTTCACTCTCAAGCCCTTAAAAGCAAGCATCCTATCAAACAGTTAAGTCCTGAATTCTTTACTATTTCTTATCACTACTTTGCCAAAGTTGAGGTTACAATATGGGAAAGAAAGAGCAATGATTGCTGCATAGAAAACCAATAGTCAAGATTATGTTGAATAATTAATAATAATAAGGGTCTAAGCGAAGGATTTCACTAGGGGCTGGAACTGTAAGAGACAATCTGATATAGAAAGTTTTTGTTCATTTTAAGCAAGATGAAACATTTTAAAAAATGTCTCTGTACTTCAATTGAAATAAAAAATGTTAAAATACATTTGAAGAGCAGTTTTATTTGTTAGTTATGGTGATGACAAGCTTAAGTCAACATGCAATTAATCTCAATATTGTTTACCTGCTATTGAGGAACAAAGTTAAGAATTATGTGGTTTAGTTTCTGTATTAAGGGCACACATTAAAATTTAGAGTTGAATATGTAGGTGGCAATGAATGAATAAAACATCTTGCCCAATGTGTTATTGGGTTTTGCTCCTAGTCACTTCTTTATAAATTCTAAACTTAGACACCAGCAGTAAAACAAACTTTTCCTTTATTTGTCTAAGCCTAATGCTGATTTACCTTCACTTTAACAAGATGATTCCCATTTTGGCATTAAATCAAAGAAACGAAATTCCACAGGACTTAGGTAGGACTTTATGAAATGCTATTGGATTGTTCTCAAGTGTTGCCTTAATATAAATAACAGTTGAATCACCTAACCTCAAATCCACATTTACCTATCTTAAATAAAAACAATCTTAGAATTTCAAGATTTATCTATAGTGATAGATAAAATAAAACACATCAATTTCTCCAATTCAGTGACTTGAATTTATTTCTGTTGGAAAAGCAAATTTTGCAATTATCTCTTATAGATATAACTACTTTGCCTCTGATAGAATTAGCAAAGTAGCATGCCAGGAGGTCTGAAACTATAGGAAAATGTGGCAAAGAATCAAGAAGTAGCATGGCATTTTTGAATTTAAGGATATTATTAATGATGTGTATATGGATGGAGTCACAAAGACTTCAAGTATTGGTAATAAATGAAAGCTTTGTAAGAAGGACTGAGTAAGGATTGATGATGCTTTAATGAATAAAGAAAATATTGCCTCTTTTTCTCCAGACTAAGGTTTGTTTAGTTTTGTCTCTGCATAATACCCCAGTTAAAAAAAATGTTTTCACTAAGACCCAGGTATGGGCTAAATTGATTTATGGCGAGAGCAGAAACCAAGATACTGGTGCCAAAATAGTGGTAAGATAATAAAACAGTAAGCTTGAACGGAATCCAGATTGCTCAAATATGATTTGAAAGGAAACTGTTGATAAGCTAAGATAGACCACAAAGGCTGGTCACAGGTTCCACTATTAGCAAGAATTATGGGACTCAGAGTCATTTTTAGGTTGATTTCACTCGTTTTCTATCTGCTCATTCAAATGGAATACCCCAAATTGAGAATATACAAATAGTCCCCATACCTTGTGTTCCTTGTTTGTTATGAAGAATGTTTTAAATTCAGTTGTCAATCCACAGCTTTGCAGAGCACAGAACCATTAGGCTTACTGCCACTTAGGCTAGTGAAGGCAGCGCCAGCATACAGTAACTGCCATACCTCATAAAGAAATCCTTGCCTCCATAACGCTACATATTTCTGAGTTCTAGTTCTACTGCTTCATTGGGCATACAAAATATCTGACTATGGATCCCCACAGCTGTTTCTCATAATAAAACAAGACTCAAATGTTTTCATATTTTGGAAATACTCTCCTCACAAGAAGAGTAGCTGGACTTCAGAGTGCCAATTCTCATCCCCCGAGGTTTGACTTATTTTGACACCTTTTAATGATCAATTTCATTTCACCATTGTTCGCTGCATTACAGCACAATCCAGACCCAAGCATAGATTGTGGCTTCTCCCTTTATGTCCCACTTTGCAGTTTAAGTCAAGCTGGAATATCTAAAACCTAGTGATATAGAAAGGGGAATAAATATGAAGAGAATATGCATCTTAACGAGGTGCTTTACAAAATGCAGGTTACTACTGTCACTTTGTCATTCATTCCAAGGGCACTGTCTCTTTAATCCCAGCCTGCTCCGTGTGACACTGGTCATCTTCCTCCGTTGCCAAAAATTCCCTTCAACGTAGGTAGACCACTCAAAGTCCAGACTTCAAAACAAAAGCCGAGATAAATTACAGGATTCATCTGACAAACCCCTTAGTTCCTCTGTGCTTTGATTGCCTCACCTGTAAAATGGCATGGAATTAAATAAACATACTCTTCAGAAAGAAATAAAACAAGCCATGACTAATTGAAGATTTTGGATGGTACAAGCAGATTCATCATTAAAAATAATGCTAAAAGTGTTTTAATGTAGTCAACTTCAAAACATTTGTTTAATATGAACATTCTATGCTTAATGTTAAATATTAAGCAAATATAAACTCAGAACTACATAACAGTCTTTTAAGTAGAGACTACCATCATCAGCTAGTATATTCACAGGCAGAGACAGCCACTGAGAACCAAAAGGGCAGTTGTCATGCCCGGAATCATGCGGAGCTAAACTTTAGGAAAAACACATAACCATTTTACATAGACAATAGAAGGTGAGATGACTGCAAGGTGGTCAGTCAATCTGCCACTGTGTATAAACTGCAAGAACTTGGATAGTCAGAATGTTGGACTTACCTTTCAATCTCTGGTCATAGATAAAGCCTTGCTTCTCTGGCTATGATATTCTATTTGGGGTAGAGCTGGGAGACAGGACCATTGGGTTTCTGACTTCTTCTGGGTCTGAGGCTTCCATCCTCTCAGGCATGTCCCTCTGACCCACTTACTTCAGCACTAAAATGACATATTCCTAGTCCCTGGAGTACTGATTGATTCCCTCTCCCTGGCACCACTCTCTTTCCTCAACCCAAATATTCTAGAAAAGTCAGCACCTGCTGCAAGGACCAACTTGTTAAGCAGCACTTTGTTCTAACATCTACCCTCTTGAACTTCTGGGATTCTACTCAGAAAGTGTTGGACTAAATGAGCACAGTCAGTAAGTTCTGAGCAAACATTACATGTGGGAATTCCATTCCCATTTTGTCACTTACTGGCTGTGATGCCTAGAGCATACTTTGACCTCTCTGACCTCAAACGTCATCATCACAAAACAGAAAATAACAGTAACTATCTAATAGTGTTATGGTGATGAAATAATGCCATGGAAATGATGCTAGACAAAATTCTTAGCCTTGTGTCTAACAGAGAGTAAATTCTCAATCAATGATAGCTAACATTTTCTAGCAGAATAAAAAGCCCTATCTCAGTGGTTCCTCTTTATTTAGCATCCCTCCTTCACCTCCTTTGGTCCAATGGTCCAGGTACTTATGTTTTTATGTTTTAAGCTACAGTGTGAGTTGGGAAATGATAACTAGAGTCATTATCTAACCTCACAATATCACACAGAGGTTTGCCTTAAAAATATTAACTTCTATAAATTTATTCCCAAAGCATAAACATGCCATTTTATTTTTTTGACTAAAAGGAAACATAAGCTAGTACCACAGCCTGTCTGGCATTTTTTAAATGCATAAACATGTGTTTACTATTGTGTAAAACAGCTGTAATTTGACTGTCATTGATTAATTCTAGTTATGTTTGGTTTATGTCCTTCATGCACAGTCACAAAGAATTTACTTATATGCTTTTGTATGATTTTTTCAATTGTCCTAAGAAAGCAATTATGTGTGGAAATTTTCTTCTTCCTTTTAACTTCATTATTGTTTAGAAAAGCAATTGAATCACTCAAAGTGGTTATTGATTCTATAATCTACCAAATTCATGAAGATGGTATTATATCTTTAAATGTGTCAAAATTTAGAAGGAGATTAACTGCTTCAAGTCATCATTTTATTGCTATTTTAGTGCATTTACAAAAGTCTACTGATGTTTCTGATGCTATAAATATAGGATGTGAGAAATATTACTATTCCAACTTTAAAAGAAAGGAAAATTAAAGAACTTGGTGAATCAAAATGAGTCACTGGGGACTGCTAAGAAAAGAGTATACGCAGACATCATTTTGGTACTTTTTTCCCCTTTCTAATGTCTTTTCTCTCATCTTTTTTCTTCCTGAATTCATTTATTGCTACACCTTCTTATATATTTCTTTCTTTTTTTAAATCATCATAGCTCAGTATTTTTCTAAAAATCAAATTGCCATTTTAATAGTGATTTAAGAAAAACTCCAAGGTATATGTATATAATACTATTTTAATGACTTTTCTGTTCATTTTCTGATAGAGAAACTCAATTTTTATAAAGACTGTAATTGTGTTGATCTGGCTACTGTTGAGCTCATAAAAGTAAGATTCTTGGGTAGCTTGCAAATTAATATGCCAGTCCAGATTTTTTTGGCATAATAAGAACATCTTTTATGTGTCAGAACAGGTTTTGATTATAACTAAATAAGTGAAAGAACAAGTATGTTGATAGGGTGACCTTTATCAAAAAGTTTGAGATTAATGATCCAAAGTACTTTTAGAGCAGGCAAAAGTTAAATAAGAATAAAATGTGTGAGTCATAGGACTACCTGTCTGTATAATTCAAATAAATAGCAATGTTTATGTTTGAACAAAAATAGCAATTTCAAAAACAAAATGAAAACAAAAGTCCATAAATATGAAATGTCCTCACTTAATGCTTTTTTTTCCCCTGCTAAGAATAATCAAGATTACTATTTGGCTAACTCAGGCCTTATAATCACAGATATTTTTGTGCCATAAGAAATTAGGGCATTTGGAAACACAGCATTTATAATGGCTTATAGCTAGCTCATAGAAAGCATTCTTTATTTTTTCATTTATTGTTAGTGATAGCAAACAGTATAATGTTCATTTTGCAAATGTAATATGAACAAGAAATTAAAACAGACTTATTTGTATGTTTTGGTCAAATTTTGGATAGTATATTCTGGTATCATAGTAGAATGTAACATTTTCAAGGGAGACTATGTCCAGGAGACATTGTACTTAAGCCCCTTTCCAAGGAAATAAAATACAATACAACTCTATTTAAAAATAAAATATTAGAAACTCCCTGTCTGCATATTATTGAATTTGGTTTTGTAAATGATGCAGGAAAGCAGTTTACCTCAACATCTTATAGATCTTTTTTGTGGAACTGTTTTTGTTAATTTTTTTTCATGTTATACTTTGTATCTGGTATGCTTTTCCCCCCCAACTATTTCCTCACCATTTCTCTCTCTTTCTCCATGCACTTTCATTTTTAAAGGCAAAATCCAGTGCCATATCTTTTATAAAAACTTATTTGAACTTCCTCCTGTCATATATATTTACTTATTTTAATTATTCATTGTAATTTATTCATATTCTCTCTTAGAGTGCTATTAGACTCATAAGAATCATCTCAGTGCCTTACGAGATTACAGTGTTTCATTGGAGTGCAATGTTTAGGAGGACGTAAGCCTTGGTACTTTGTTTATGGCAGGTAATCAGTACTTATTGAGTGCAGATGACATAGTGCAGATCATACCTCATGGTCTGGAGGCTTTGCCTGAATCTATCATTATCTTGTATGTAGTAATAAATGAATAACAAAAACTTATTACATGTATGCATGCATATACTTACACAATCACTTACAATACTGACAATTTGGTACTGATGACAGTGTTAGGTAGGTAGTTATTTAATTTGGTCACTGAAACTGATGAAATTACTTCTTGACTGTCATTATTTTAACATTTTATTCATAGTAATTTGAATTGGTTTCTTAAAGTTTATTTAACAAGTATTAAAATTCAGTACTAAAATACAGTCATGAGATTTTACTATATATCAGGACAATGCTTCAAAACAATCTATGACAAACTAAATGGTAATCAAGCATATACTATATTTGTTCTTATGTCCAGTATGGTATTTGGCCTAATTTCCATAGGTTTCACATAAATAGAAATGGAAAAAAATTATGAATGTAAAATATATGAATTATTTTTAATTAATACTAGTACACCACCACAATTACCGGAAGTTGTAAATATTGAATAAAATGTAATCTACTTTAAACTTTCATGAAACTATAGAAATGTCAACCTTGAGTCTTCAATAGTTATGCCTAAATAGAATATTGAAATTTCTACTTCGGACATAGTCTTCATTGCTATAGCAATAGTTTAATCATAAAGTCAGTCACAAGATAGAATTTTATAACTATGGACACATGGCTACTCCCTTAATTCATTCTCCGTTCCTTCCAAGTATGCAAGGACAGTGCCAGAACCATAATGAGAAAATGTTAATGAAAGAACATCATGCAAGAACACAGGCTATTATCTCCACAGGATTCTCAGAGTTATCTGAAGTCACAGAGTGGTATAAATTCTGTAACACAGAGAAGCTGAAGTACTGCTGAGAATGTTCCATATTACCAATAGAAAATAGGACAATGGAAACCAGAATCCATACTTTATCTATATCATCTGCACTCAATTAATACTGAGTCAAATTCTTGTTTTATTTTTTTCCTTATGACAAATAAACAATTAATTGGATGTTTCCATTTTGTGGAACTGGGAGTTTTATTCATATTGAAATTCACAATCATGGCTTTTCATATGGAAATTTCTACTTCTCAAGTATAGAAGGATAAAAATTTAGCTTTTACTATTTCAAACTTTGTAAAGAGAGAACAGATCTTACTATTACATAACGCATAATGCATCCTTTACAAAGATTTCAGATTGGAAGGAAAAATTATTTACCAAAACTATTGTGATGATTTCTTTGAAAACAAGGGCAATATTTTATAATTGAGTCATAATGGATCTAAATATCTATAAAAGATATCTTAAGTCATATGCTTAATATTATGTTGTATAATGTATTATTAATAGTATCAATATACCACTTACTAGTCCCCTAATTTATCTCCTGTCTCATAATCATGCTTTAGCTTAAGCTTCCTTTATCCTGGATAGTGCATTACCCACACTGTCTTAAAACTATTAGCTATGTCTTATTATATTACAGTAATGAAATAAAGAGTTATTAACTAATGAATACAGAAGAATGGCAAGCCTATGTTTTAAGTTGTTTTCTTAACTTTATATTTGCATATTGCACATTGAATAGTAGACACTTAAAATCATACCAGAATTGTTGGAATGAAAGGGCATGTAAAAGTCATTTAGCCAAGCAATTTATAACTTTACTCTACCAGCAGAAATTTTTTATTTAAATAAAATTGGATATAGAACCCCAAAATACAAAACAGATGGGAAGTGTAGCAGCTCTGGTCTAAGAAAGAAGCAAGCTTGGCCTCATCCCCTGCAGTAGAACTCTGTAGTGCCCCAGCTTGGTGACCGTTGATCTGGTTAATTTGCCCAATCTGTTCAAAGTCTTTTTAAAACCATTTGTTTGACAGATGATAATACTGCCTCTTCTACAATATTTCCAGAAACAAAGGACTTGGTAACTTATAACAGAGGCAATTTTGAGGGGTAAGGAATGTATCCATTATTATAAAAAGTGATGAAATATATTAAATAAATAATATAAAATAAGAATGTATCATATAGTAAACATCCAAATAACATTTTCCCTTTATCTTATTCTTGTTATCTTTGTTGGTTATTTTGTAAAATAATCCTTCAAATATTTGCTGACACTTAGCCCTATACCCTAGATCACTCTAGGCAGAAATAAACTTCAATAAGATTGTTAAAACTTTCCTTCTGGAGGAGTGAAGTATGTTCTGGTCCCTGCTTTGATATCCCTCGTTGATGCTGTGTTCAGGAGAAAGGGTAGCTCTGTCCTTTGGTTGTGGCCATGGAACAAAATGAAATCATATAGCAAAAGGTACATGAAGTTTGAGTTCTGATTAAAGCAGCTCCAGGGAAATATAAAGTGACTAATATTTTCAAGTCTTGGGGTCAGACAGAGATTGAAAACCAGACTCAAAGCAAGGGGGACTGAAAAGGGAAATAGATAAGACAAAGAAAAACACTTTGGGAAACAAAATATATAGAGATCAAAAGTTAAATCCCTGTAAAGAAGGGGAAAAACATGTTATGAAGGACTTCATCCCATGAAGAAGGAACATGCTAATTAAGTATGATAATATGTTTATATGTTCCATCCACTCTGAGAATCATCAGTGTAACAATAAGAGTCTTTCCAATCCATATAGTTATCAGTAGTCATACTTGCCACCCACTTGCTTTGGATAGTAACTCTGACATTGAAGTTGTCAGCCCAGTACTTTTCAATCTGCAGTAGTGCCATTTGTACAAATAAAATATTTCCCATCTATAACCCCAATCCTCCCTTGTCATGAATTCTCAACTGATTTACTGGCATCAAGTCCTGTTCTATCTACTTTCATTTATGCCACCATTGCTTTCTCAGGAAGTGAGGTTGGAGCTTACCTCATACGGAGAAAAATACCAAAAGTGGTTATATTTTCAATATTTAAGAATAAGCAAACAAAAATAACAACAGAAAATCCAGGAGCAATTTAAGTCTTGTGAGAGACACTGGGACACAGGAGAAAGACCAAAGCACAGATGAGGATGGGGAAGAGCATCATTTCATCAGTGTTAGCACTGGTACCTATGGAACATTAACTATCTATTAGGTCTCTTGCTTGACTCCGAGTTTTGGACATTAAAATACCTATTTTAATTATTAATACTCTATACATTTTATAAGTGAGTAAATAGAATTGAGTGCTGGAGAAGTCCAATATCACAGAGCTAGTAAGTGGTAAAAAGCCAAAATTATAAAACAGTCTGACTTCCGAAGCTCAAACTTTCAATTAAGACTTTTAACTTTGAAAAATGAGCTAATACCCAAAACAGAAGAAAATTGTACATAACTTACATTTTCTCGTCTGAAAAAGTAAAAATATTTGAAATCTAAAATAAGAGATAAAAATTGATAAAATAAAAAACTTAAAGAAAGTGGGACCTGGGGGAGAGGCAGGCTGGAAAAAAGGGAGGAGAAAATATAAGTATAGGCTATAAAGGCAAAAGCATAATTATGAATTGCCAGCTATATTAGGAATGCTTAAATCAGAACTGGTATGCATAAACTTAAGTATATGATAAGGAGAGCTGGGAAGATGTTCCAGGATGTAAGAAATGGGTAAAAGTTTTTTTAAAAAATGGGAGATTTAGTACTAAAAAGAAATGAGCTATCAAGCCAGGAAAAGCATGTGGTACTTTAAATGCATATTACTAAGTGAAAGAAGCCAATCTGAAAAGGCTACATACTGTATCATTCTAACTATATGGCATTCTGGAAAAGCAAAACTATAGAAACAGTGAAAACATTAGTGTTTGCTGGAGGATAATGGGGGCCAGGATGAACAGGCAGAGCACAGAGGATTTTTAGGCAATGAAAATACTCTATAGACTATAACGGGGAATGCATGCCATTATACATTTGTCCAAAGTCACAGAATGCAAGTACAACACCAAGAGTGAGCCCTAATGCAAACTATAGGCTTTGGATGATAATGATGTATCAATGTAGGTTCATTAATTGTTATACCTGCACTATACTGGTGGGGGATATAGGTAATAAGAAAGGTACAGGTAGAGGACAGAAGGTATAAGGGAAATCTCTGTATTTTTCTCTCAATTTTGCTATGAATTTAAGATTGCTCTAAAAAATAAAATCTTTAGTAAACGAATTTTAAAAATCAGAGATAAAGAAGACAGAAAACAGAGATAAATAATGTAAATTTAATTCTCACATTTGACAAGAACCAACAGAACAGAAATGATAATCAAGAACATTATAGGAGATAGGTCACCTGAAACAAAAAAAATTGAATAATACAGTATGAATTCTTCATCATATATCATAAAATTAAATTAAATAGGAATTTAGACACACCAGAGTAAATTATTTTACCTGAGTCACCCAAAATAGTACCCAAATCAGACTGACTTGACTTTATTTGAAAGAAAAAGTTTTGAGTTCCAAAGGTTATATAACAACCATTAATTGCCATTAATATAGAAAAGAAAAGATAACGATAGATGTAAAAAGGCTGAAAAAGTAAAATTTAACTGCACAGTTTTCTTGAATCAAAGGAACATTTTTAGTCATAGAGAATCAAAATAAGGACAGCAGAACCAGATGAATAATAATACGATAGGATCAATAATGAGAATTGAAATCATTCAATGTGAAGTTGAGCCTAATTTATTATTATAAATATGAATAAAACTATGCCATTGTCAAAAATAATTCTATTTATTGCATAAATATAGTAGCATGATGAGAATTAGTTTGGAGTATATTCTTCCATATGTTAGTTACAAATGTCTGGAATTCAGAAAATCTAGTAAACCCAAAGCATATTTATATTCTCACATTTGCTAGGAGGAAATCAATAGATGGTGTTTATATTTTGAAGTCTATATTAGAGAAGTACAGATGTGTATAATCCGTTGTTAAGGAAGTGACTAGTTGAAATAAATAAGTAAGGATACATATGTCCTTAATCACTAGAAAAAAAAGTGAAATAAGGAAAGAAGATTGAGAACTACTGACAACACAAAAAAGAAAAAGCACACTGAGGCATAAAAATCACAATATATAAATGAAAATAAAATTGTATAAGTAATATTCAAGTTTAAAAACAATCTTAGATCTGGTTCAAAAATATAAATTGGGAAGAAAAGCAAAAGATTAACAGTAGAAAGATGGCTATTAGGAAGCCAGGCAAATATTTTTTAATGTCAATTTTCATTATCGGCATAGGTATTACAAAATAAACACTGTCAAATAATTTTTGTGTGTCACCTAGTTTTTTTCTAGTCTATGCTGTGATAACAAGAAAATGCTAGTGGTTTACAAAATCTGTATTGCATGTGAAAAATGATTCTGCTATTCCACACTTGGCTTCATCATTCTAAGGTGCAGAATAAAGTAGCAGACCTTATCTGTAACACGTTCTTGTGCTAGAGGGAAAAAGTGTACGGGAGTAATACAACAGCTCTTAAAGCTTTTGCTCAGTTCTTAACGCTCAGTTTTCATTGCTGAAGCAAGTTACACGGTCAAGTCTTAAATACATAAGTTGGAAAAGGCACACAAAAGTGCCCACTGGAAGAGGCACTGCACATGAAAAAGCAAGAATCACTCAAAATCAACTACTCATTGGTAAACAACAAAATCATTTAATACCCACCCACCCACCCACACACACACACACACACACACTTTCAATAATGGAGATCATAACACACTGCACTGCACAACACATGGTAAAGAGAGTGAGTGAAGAATCCTCTTACCTAGGAGGCAGTAAATAATTTTGGACAGTAATAAAACTTCTCATAGTAGTAAGAACGTCAAAAAAAGGCAAATGTCATGAAAGGTCAGTTATCAATATGTATCAAAGTCTTTACAGTTCTTCAACCTCTTGAACTAGTAGTTATTTTCCTGGAATTTGATCCAAATGGAAACAATAATGGGATAGATATTCATAAATAATGATTTAGCATAATTTAGGAGTAAATTAAAATATTATTCATAGTAATAGATCCTTAGCTAGATAAATTATATTTTCATGTGACTGGTTAGCCTTTAAATTTATTTAATGATATACAATATCATATATATATATACACACACACACACACACACACAAATGTTCCCTGATATCTGTTAAGTGTGTGTGTGTGTGTCTGTGTGTGTGTGTGTTTTCATCATCAAAGAGATTTGTAAGTTTACCAATGAGTAGTTGAATTTGGATTGATTCTTGATTTCTCATTTTTTATCTTCCTAATACAAAATTATTTGTTTTGCAAGTTGGAATTAACAAATAAGGGGATCATGTTAGTTATTCAATAAATAATGAGTTTAAATCAACAAAGATAAAAAAGGCAAAGAAGGGCGTTACATAATGGAAAGGGGTTCAGTTCAACAGGAAGACCTTGTTGTTCTAAATATAACTGCACCCAACACAGGAGCACTCAGATTCATAAAGCAAGTTCTTACAGGCCTACCAAGAGATTTAGATAAACACACAATAGTGGGAGACTTTAATACCACACTCTCAGTATTAGACAGATCATCAAGGCAGAAAACTAAGATATTTGGGGCCCCAACTCAACACTTGACCAAATGGACCTAATAGACATCTAAAGAACTGTCCACTCCAAAATAACAGAATATACATTCTTCTCATCTGCACATGGCACATACTCTAAAATCGATCACCCAATCAGCCATAAGAAAATCCTCAGCAAATTAAAAAATAATAATAATACCAAAGACATTCTCAGACCACAAAGCAATAAATATAGAAATCAATACTAAGAATATCACTCAAAATCATGCAACTACATGGAAATTAAACAACATGCTCCTGAATGACTTTTGAGTAAACCATGAAATTAAGGCAAAAATCAAGAAATTTTATGAAAATAATGAGAAGAAAGATACAGCACACAGAATCTCTGGGGCACAGCTAAAGCAGTGTAAGAAGGAAAGATTATAGTGCTAAATACCCACATCAAAAAGTTAGAAAGATCTCAAACTAGCAACCTAACATCACACCTAGAAGAGCAAGAGAAACAAGAGCAAACCAACCCCAGAGCTAGCAGAAGATAAGAAACAACCAAAATCAGAGCTGAACTGAGGGGGATTGAGATGTGAAAAAGCATACAAAAGATTAATGAGCCCAGGAATCGATTTTTGATAGAATAAATATGATCGATAGACTACTAGCTAGACTAATGAAGAAAAAAAGAGAAAAGAACCAAAACCCCACAATCAGAAATGACAAAAGGGACATTACTGTTGACCTCACAGATACACAAAAAACCCTCAAAGGCAATTAGAATACTTCTATGCACACAAGCTAGAACACCTAAAATAAATCCATAAATTCCTGGAAATATACCACTTCCCAAGACTGAACCAGGAAGAAACTGAATCCCTGGACAGAACAATAATGAGTTCTAAAATGGAATCAGTAACAAAAAGCCTACCAACCAGAAAACCTGAGGACCAGACGTATTCACAGTCAAATTCTACCAGATGTATAAAGAAAAGCTGGTAACATTCTTACTGATACGATTCTAAAAACTTGAGAAGGGATTTCTCTCTAACTCATGATATGAGGCCAGCATCATTGTGATATCAAAACCTGGCAGAGACACAACAAAAAAGAAAGCTTTGGGCCAATATCCTCGATGAACTTCGATGCAAAAATTTTCAGCAAAACACTAGCAAACTGTATTCAGCAGCACATCAAAAAGCTAATTCACCATGACCAAGTAGGCTTTTTCCCTGGGATGCAAGGTTGTTCAACACACACAAATCAATAAATGTGATTCATCACACACACAGTACTAAAGGGAAAAACCACATGATCACTTCAATAGATGCAGAAAAGTCTTTCAATAAAATTCAACATGCTTTATATTAAAACCCCTCAACAAATCAGGCATTGAAGGAACATACTTCAAAATAGTAAGGGCCATCTATGACAAACCCACAGCTAACATCATACTCAATGAGCAAAAGCTGGAAGCATTACTCTTGAAAAATAGCACAAGAAAAGAATGTCCTCTCTTACCACTCTTATTCAACATAGTTCAGAAATTTCTAGCCAGAGCAATCAGGCAAGATAAAGAAAATAAAAGCTATCCAAAGAGAAATAGAGGAAGTCACACTGCCTCTATTTGCAAATGATATGATTCTATACCTAGAAAACCACATAGTTTCTGCCCAGAAGCTCCTTAAGCTGAAAAACAACTTTAGCAAAGTCTTAGAATACAAAATTAATGTACAAAAATTACTAGCATTCCTATATACCAACATCCAGGATCAGAGCCAAATCAAGAATGCAATCCCATTCACAACAGACACAAAAAGAATAAAATATGTAAGAATGCATATAACCATGTAGGTAAAAGATCTTTACAACAAGAATTACAAAAAAATTCTCAAAGAAATCAGAGATGACACAAACAGAAAAACATTCCATGTTCATGGATAGGAAGAATAAATATTAATATTCCTATCAAACTACCAATGACATTCCTCACAGAACTAGAAAAACCTATTTTAAAATTCATATGGAACCAAAAAAGAGCCTGAATAGCCAAGGCAAAACAGAGCAAAAAGAACAACGCAGGAGACAATATGCTACGTAATTTCTAATTATACTACAAGGCTGCAGTAACCAAAACAGCATGGTAATGGTATATATACCAAAAAAAAAAGTGCTTAGGCCAAAGGAACAGAATTGAAAGCCCAGAAATAAGGCTGTACACCTACAACCAACTGTTCTTTGACAAAGCTGACAAAAGCAATGGGAAAAGGACTCCTTATTCAATAAATGGTGTGAGATAACTGGCCAGCCATATGAGGAAGATTGAAACTGGACCCCTTCCTTACAACATATACAAAAAAAAAAAACTCAAGATGGATTAAAGACTTAAATGCAGAACCCCAAACTATAAAAACTGTGGAAGACAACCTAAGAAATACCATTCTTAACATAGGACCTGACAGATTTTTCAATAAAGAAGCCAAAAGCAATTGTAACAAAAACTGACAAATGGGATATAATTAAACTAAATAGCTTCTGCACAGAAAAAGAAACTATTAACAGAGTAAACAGACAACCTACAGAATGGAGGAAAATTTTTGCAAACTATTTGAGAAAGGTCCAATATCTTGAATCTATAAGGAACTTAAACAAATTAATAGGAAAAGAACAACTTCAATCAAAATTGGGCAAAAGACATGAATAGACACTTTTCAAAAGATGATAAGCACTTGGCCAACAAGCATATGATAAAAAGTACTCAACATCAATAATTATTAAATAAATGCAAATCAAAACCATGTTGAGATATCATTTCATACCTGCCAGAATGGCTACTATTAAAAAGCCAAAAATAACACACTGGTGAGGTTGCAGAGAAAAGTGAATGCCTGTACACTGGTGGTGGTAATGTGAACAGTTGTCATTGTGGAAAGCAGTGTGACAATTTCTCAAGGAACTTAAAACGGAAACACTATTTGATCCACAATCCCATTATTGAGTATATATACAAAGGAATATAAATTGTTCCACCATAAAGATACATATGTATGTTCATTGCAGCACTACTCACAATAGTACAGATAAGGAGTCAACCTAAATGTTCAACAATTGTCAACTGGATAAAAAAATGTGAGACATATACACCATGGAATACTATACAGCCATAAGAAATAACAAGATTGTGTCCTTTGCAGCAACAAAGATGACACTGGAGGACATTATCCTAAGCAAATTAACACAGGAACACACAATCAAATATTGCATATTCTCACTTACAATTGGGAGTTAACATTGTGTATACATGTACACAAGGAAGGGAACAATAGACACCAGGGCCTACTTGAGGGTGGAGAGTGGGAGGAGGGTGAAGATTGAAAAAACTACTTAAGGGGTACTATGCTTATTACTTGGGTGACAAAATAATCTGTACACCAAACCCATGTCACAGGCAACTTACACATACAGCAAACCTGCATATGTATGCTTAAGCCTAAAATAAATATCAAATAAATAAATAAATAGTTGGATAAATAAAGGCATAAATACATGAAGAAAAGGCATTGAAATTGTGTTTAAAAATAACCAGAGTTACATATGTAAAATGCACAAATTTCTTACCACAGAATATCATAAAACAAAATGTGATTTGATTGCCAACAGTCAAGGGACTACATTGACATACGCTAAGCTATATCTTCAGACAGCTTGAACAACAATACACAGTGATACTTATCAAGTGCTTTCCATTTCCCAGGCATTGTGTTAGTATCTTTACACACAATGACACATTAAAGCTTCTCAACTATCCCATATATTAGTTATTTCTATTACAATTCTCTTTCTAAAAAATTAGCAAACTGAGGAAGCTCAGAGAGATAATAACTGTTTTCAAGTGTTTGATATTTAGTGAGTAATACAGCAAGAATTCTAAATCAGGCAGTTGATTCCAGAGAGTTGCTGAAACATTGTCCTAAATTTACTCATGTTCTTTTCAGGGAAGGTCTCCAATCATTTAATCTTGATATTATTTAACACTTGGCAAAAATCGCTTCTGGGGTAGCTTCTTACAAGTGAATTATCTCATTAATTAAATATTTTTTCCCTAATTTTATACTTCAAAGTTATTTTTCAAATTTTAAAATTGTGGTTATCTTGGTGCCACACATGTGCATATTGCCTCCACATTCATTCATCGATTCTTAACTCTCACATTCTACTTGTAACTTCACTTTATAGACCTCTTCTAGCCTTCCCCATACCAAAAAAAAAAAAAAAAAAAAAAAAAACCTGATGGATTTCATCAATACCAGGCCCATCCTACAAGAAGTACTAATGGGAGTACATCAACCAGAAAGAAAAGGACATTAATGAGCAGTAATAATCACATGAAGGTACAAAACTTACTGGTAATAGAAACGACACAGAAAAACACAGAATACTATAGAACTGTAACTGTGGTGTGTAAACTACCCTTATTCTAGGGGACAGTCTAAAAAAATCAGAAATAATAATAACAATAACTTTTCAAGATATACTCAGTACAATAAGATATAAGTGAAAACAACAAAAAGTTAAAAAGCTTGGAAATAAAGTTAAGGCAAATTTTTATTCTTTTTCTTTTTGCTTGTTTGTTTATGGAAACACTGGTAAGTGGTGAGGTCAAAATTATTGTTTATAAGATAGTATTTACAAGACTCATGGTAACCTCAAACCGAAAAACATACAATAGATACACAAAAATTAAAATGAAGAAACTAAATCATATCACCAGAGAGTCATCTTCACTCAAGAAAGACAGGAATGAAAGAAAGAAGAAAGAAAAGAATACAAAACAACCAGAAAACAAATAACAAAATCGCAGGAGTAAGTCCTTAATATCCATAATAACATTGAATGTAAATAGACTAAATCCTCTAATCAAAAAACATCAACTGGCTGAATGGATGAAAAAAAATAAGACCCATTGATCTGTTGCCTACAAGAAAGACATTTCACCCATAAGGACACACATACACAAAATAAAGGGACGGAAAAAGATATTCCATGCCAATGGAAATCAAAAAAAGAGCGGGTGTCACTATACTTACATCAGACAAAATGATATCAAGACAAAAACTCTAAGAAGAGACAAAGAAGGTCACTATATAATGCCAATGGGGTCAATTCATCAAGAAGTTATAACAATTTTAAGTATACATACACCAAACACAGGGGCAACCAGATATTTAAAAGATATATTATTAGAGATAAAGAGAGGGATAGGCCCCAGTGTAGTAACAGATGAAGACTTTCAACAGCTCACTTTCAGCAATGGACAGATCTTCCAGATAGAAAATTAACAACAACAACAAAAAAATCAAACTTAATCTGAAATATTGAACAAATTGATCTAGTAGATATTTACAGAACATTTAATCCAATAACTGCAGAATACACATTCTTTTTCTCAGCACATGAATCATTCTTAAGGATAGATCATATGTTAAGTCATAAAACAAGTCTTAAAACAGTCAAAAAAAATGGAAATAATATCAAGTATCTTCTTCAACCAAAATATAATAAAACTGAAAAATAACAAGTAAAATTTAGAAATCTATACAAACACATGGAAATTTAACAATATGCTGCTAAATAACCAGTGGATCAGTGAAGATATTAAGAAGAAAATTGAAAAATTTTTGAAACAAATGATAATGAAAACACAATCTATCAAAACCTATTGGATACAGCAAAAACAGCAGAGAGAAGCTTATAGTTAAAAATGCCTACCTCAAAAAAGATAAATAACACCAAATAATCTAGAGATTCATCTTAAAGAACTTGAAAAGCAAGAACAAACCAAACCCAAAATTATCAGAAGAAAAGATAATATCAGAGCAGAAATAAATGAAATTGGAATAAAAAAATATATATATAAAAGGTCAAGGAAACAAAAAGTTGGTTTTTTGAAAAGTGAAACAGAATTGACAAACTTTTAGTCAGTGTAAGAAAAAAAGAGAATATCCAAATGTGCAAAATTAGAAATGAAAAAGGAAACACTGCAGACATTCAAAGGATTATTGGTGTTTACTTTGAGCAACTATATGTGAACAAACTGAAAAATCTAGAAGAAATGGACAAATTACTAGACCCATACAACCTACCAAGATTGAACAAGGAAGAGATGTAAAACTTGATGAGACCAATAACAACTAGCAAGATCAAAGCTATAATAAAAAATCATTCAGTAAAGAAAATTCTGGGACCTGATAGCTTCACTCCTTAATTCTAACAAACATTGAAAGAAGAACTAATACCAATTCTACTCAAAATATTTCAAAAAATAGAGGAGGAGGGAATACTTCCAAACTCATTCTACTAGGCCAGTATTACTTTGATACCAAAGCCAGACAAAGACACATCAAACAAAGAAAAGTACAGGCTAATATCTCTGATAAATATTGATGCAAAAATCCTCAACAAAATGATAGCAAGCCAATTTCAATAATACATTAGAAAGATTATCAATCAATGTGACACATCATATCCACAGATTGAAGAATGAAAACCATGAGATCATTTCAATCAGTGCTGAAAAGGCATCTGATAAAA